>NC_000012.12:76248006-76399521 GCF_000001405.40 Homo sapiens | reverse complement strand
GGATGAGACAAACTTAATATAAAAGCTATTTTAAAATAATCAGTTGGATACATAATATATTGTTAAAAAATGAAAATTGTTAATTATCAGACAAGCACACATTGCTGTTTCCAGACCCTATTCTTTTGGCCTCTGGTTATTTTTCTTTCCTTTTCTTTCATCCTGGTCACTCTATCCTCTTTCTCATTCTTATCTGAAAGACAGCTGTAGGAATCCTGAGTTTAAGAGTGATCTCGTAGGACTCTGACTCACAGAAAATTTTAGTACTTGGCATGTACCTGAGAATCACCCCAACCCACTTTTGCCAAGACTTACTAAGGCCTCTGACCTCATAATCCTTATGAAATCTGTCATAGGACTCCCCTCACTAAAATGAGAGTCTAGTGATAGTTTCCCTGACAATTCAGTTAACTAATTCTAGGGTTTTCGATCTTGTGCTAATAACACCTTCCAACTTGTTTTGACTCTACTTAGAAGTGCATTAGCTCAAGATCTCACTTAGGTTTTTCAGAGTTAAAGCTGCCCTCTGTTAAGTCCCCAACACGTTGCCTGGCCTGGCTGACTTTCTCTGCCTTACCTTCCTTCTGATAATTTGTCCTCCATGTTCTGTTGCATCTCCATGATCCAAAATGTTATTTCAGGGTACCTATCTCCCTTTCGCCTCTCTTGTCTTACCATTCTTTTACATATACATGTATCTTAGATTTTCTCTTTTCTTCATGCCTGGCTCCCAACTCCTTCTTTCTAAATGTTTCTTGTTGAGAGTTACTGTGATACGCCTATTTGGGGGATTAAGGAATCCTGTATTATTTCATACTTCATGTAGGTGCATTGAAATAACAGATGTTTTACAGTAAAAGTATAATTCTTATTTTTGATCTAAATATTAACATCCTTTCACTATTTTGAATTCACTGAATTGCATAGACACCATTTTAATAGATGATGGAAATAGAAATTTATAGAAAAAGTAGTTTTAGACTTACTATTGACATAGCATTAAACCCTAGGATGAAGAACATTTTATGAGAGTATAGGGATTCATGTAACTTGATTTTAAAATATCCTCCAATAAATTTAAATGGCATACTTTATGTAATTACTAGGAACAAAGTAATTTGAATAAGGTAATTTTAGGGGCTAGGAGGAAGTTATTTTCTCTTCCTACCACTCACCAAATACTTAGGGAATGCCTAGTGTGTGCCAGCAGTGTTTTCAGCACTGTTGATGTGGTGAAGGGGAAAAATTGTTTTAAGCAGAATCATCATATGCACACAAATAAGATTACAGCCATGATCAGTGTTAGAAAAAGAAGAATATCAGTACTAAGAAAGCATATTTTAATGGCCCCTGACCTGGTCAGGGAGATTAGGAAAATTATCCTACTTAGTACACTACTTTGAAACTGTTGGCCTGTCTCCCACTAAAATTTAAGTTTCTTAGAAATAAGAGCCATGTCATTTTCATGTCTGTTTGCTGTGCTTGCCATGTAGTAGCTTTTAAATAAAATATTTAAAGTGTACGTGTTATGGAAATTTTAGATTAAAACATCTTATTTGCAGTATTTTCGTTTGGACCTTGGAGAACAGATCTTCCTTTTTAAAATAAATTTATCTTTCTGTAGATTCGTGGTACTCTAAAGAGCTGGACCAAGTTATGGTGTGTGTTGAAACCTGGGGTGCTACTGATCTATAAAACCCAAAAAAATGGTCAGTGGGTAGGAACAGTTCTTCTGAATGCCTGTGAAATCATTGAACGTCCATCAAAAAAGGATGGCTTTTGTTTCAAACTTTTCCATCCTTTGGAGCAATCTATTTGGGCAGTGAAGGTATGTAAGCCCTTGTTACATAGGTGAAAGGTAAAGATGATAATCCATGAATAGAACTGAGATACATCAATCAAATGAGTTTAGTCCTCTGCCAGGACTTATAAATCTGTTCTGCTTTCCATTGCATTATTCCCCCATTCTGCCTCTACCCACAACAAAATGTGCACCAAAAAGCTTTACCTTTGAGGTCTAACTTTTTATATTGCATCTTTTTATCTCTTTTGCCCTTGGGGATTCAATTTGTACTGTTTTTTTCAGTTTCTAATTACTAACTCGGCTTTGTAACATTGTATTATATTTATTGTTGTTGGTTTTTTTTTTCCCACCCACCTGCCCCCACCCCCCCTCCCCACCCCCTGTGATTTTTCTCTTTGTCAAAATGGTAAGTAGGATTCCCTGGAACAGAAACTGCCATTTATTTTTATGGTCTTTCCTGTAGTGATGTAAAGCCTATAAGCAGAAGCAATCTTTCTTACTCTTAAAAAAAAAAATTTTTTTTAATTACTTACTCTTGAGAAAGAGGCAGGTTTCTTTAAAGATGAAGCATTAATGTTTTTTATAACTGCAAAGCATTACTGTGGCTGGGTGCAGTGGCTCATTCCTATAATCCCAGCACTTTGGTAGGCCAGGGCAGTTGGATCGCTTGAGCTCAGGAGTTCGAGACCAGCCTGGGCAACATAGTGAAACCCTGTCTCTGCAAAAAATACAAAAATTAGCCAAGTATGGTGGCATGTACCTGTAGTCCCAGCTATTCAGGAGTCTGCGGTGGGAGGATCACTTAAGCTTGGGAGGTCGAGGAGGCTTCAGTGAGCCATGAGCGTGCCACTGCACTTCAGCCTGGGCAACAGAACAAGACCCTGTCTCAAAAAAAACAAACAAGCATTATACTAACTGAATAAATGAATCAAGTTTAAGTGGTTTTGTGTATGTATGTGTGTTTTTTAGGCAAGGTTTTACTGTCACCTAGGCTGGACTGCAGTGGCATGATCATTGCTCACTGCAGCCTCAACCTCCCGTGCTTAAGCAGTTCTCCCACCGCAGCCCCCCAAGTAGCTAGGACCCCAGGCACGTATCACCATGCTCAGCTAATTTTTTTAAACATTTTTTGTAGAGATGGGGTCTTTCTGTGTTGCCCAGGCTGGTCTTGAATTCCTGGGCCCTCCTGCCTCAGCCTCCCAAAGTGCTGGGATTACAGATGTGAGCCACCATGCCTAGCCTAGTTTAAGTTTTTACGAAATGATCATTGCTTTAGTTTCTAAGAAGGCCAGCTATCGTAGAATAAAGAAGGTAGAATTTCTCCTTTAGGGAAAACCAACTAATTGAGATTACGGTTAACTAAAAGTAGCTTAATCCTTTTTTCTTGGGCGGGGAGGGTATTGCTTAATAACGTAATACACATACACCTAGGAAAAGACTTGGACTTTTTAATCGTTATTTCAGTAGTCGGGAGTCACAGCGAGAATACATTTGGGATCACCGAGTTAGTTCCATTCTGAGGTTAGGTGCTTCCTGCAGGGGAAAGAATTTAACCCCCCGAACCTCTGACATTTATATATTAAGCGATTCTCAAGTGGAGAAAACGACTTTCAAAACCTTTTTAAACAACAAAAAATATATATATAAACATACATATAAATACCATATATATACATATACAAAAATACTATATATACACACATATATGTATATATATATATAGTATTCTACTACTCTTAGGAATTGCAAGCATTAAAATAAATTTTTAAGCCATTAATGATTTTAATGTCAAATTTATAATATTTAATTCTTAATATTGGAAGAAGAGAGAAATCTGTATAATTATATAAATACTTCCCACAAGCAAAACCTACTTAGGATATTGTTTAAATATTTTAGAAGCCAGTGTTTGTGATTAAGAAATAGTAACAGCTATGAGTTCTTTGTGTCAGGTACTTGAATATTTTACATGAAATCATTTATTTAATTCTCATACCTATAAGGAGGATACAGTTTCTTCCCATTGTACACATAAAGAGATTGAACCCTGTTTTTCTAGCATGGAGCCATGATTGAAACCCAGGCAGTCTGATTCCATGTCCCACTATATACTGGTTTTAGGAACTGGCCCATAAATTGTAAAGCTATTTGAAAATGCAGATTATTACGGTATTTGTTAAAGTCATATTAAATTTTTTTTCTGTTTTCGTTTTGAATCTACATCTTTACTTTCTAATGTTATGCTTTTTGGAAATTTATTTCATTTTTTGACCTAATAACTTTAAAGAACCCTTTGAAAACAACTTAAAAATTATGCTTTTGTATCAAAATTATACTTTAAATTCAGTACTTAGTTTTCTTTCCAGATTCGTGTCTACCTAAGTTTAGCATTGGTGATACTAATTAGTGTTGGTATTGTATACTTCTAAAACAAACAACCCTAGCCAACAACAACGACAGAATTTCTTTTTCTTTCATGTTTCTGGAAAAATAAAATCAGCTTATATAGTTGGTGTTTAAAAACAGGTGTATGTCATTGGTTATAAAGTGGAGATTTATTTTTCCCTAGACCCAGTTAAAGTTCATTTCTCTTTTTTTAAATTATAATTCTATTTCCACATGCTTTCTTTAGCCTTCTAGAAATTTAGTATTTCTTATCTCATTAGTTGTATCCATGGGATGGACATTGTTAAAATTTGGTTTAATATGGTAAACTTTAGGTTCTCTTTAGTATGTAAGCAGTATGTAGAGATAATATTTAAGTGATAATTCATTTGTTCAGTTTTCTGCTAAGGAGATATATTTGTTAGAAAATTTTTCTTAATACTTAACATTTGCATTCTCAAGAATGATGAAATTAAAGCTCATTTGCCTTTAGATTATAATCCATACCTGATTTAGATTATTACAGATAATATTGGATAGTGTAAAGATGAGATCTCATAATAATTACTCTATACCATTTATTTTGTTTATTTTGTTATTAAGGGTCCAAAAGGTGAAGCGGTTGGATCCATTACTCAACCCTTACCTAGCAGTTATTTGATCATCCGAGCTACTTCAGAGTCAGATGGTAAGTATAGTTTTTGATGGATTGGATTTTGGTCTTCATTTTTAAGAGTTTTTTTAATGCCACTTTGTATTATTCTGGGGAAATATATTTTTAGTATGGCATTTGCAGCAGAAGCATGGTAATCATAAATTGTTTTGAATGCTAAATATATGAGTAACTTAATAGACAAAAATCTGATAGAAAGGAAGCATTGTGTGATTTACTGAAGAGTTAGCAGTTCAGAGTTTTCTTCTTCATCCTCCATGGACATATTAACACCTTTTTATTTGTTAGTGGTCTTTATGGTACTCTTAAAGATATATTTAATACTTTTTATATTTTACTACTAAATGTTACCATTTATGAGACATATACATTGTTTTGGTTTTGTTTTTTTTTATGTAAGAGATTCGAGTACAACCTTTTTTATTCCTCCTTTAACACTTAATTCATGAAGCAAATATGGAGAGAGAAAAACTTAAATGATATCAAGGTAACTTTAAAATCTTAATAATTAATAATGGATTTTGTCCTCACTTTCATGCTTTCATGTTTCATAGTTTAGACAAGGTTGGTATAGGGAATCTTCTAACCTTCCAAAGTTTACTTTTATCTGATTTTTTTTGTTTTGTTTTGTTTTTGTTTTTGAGATGGAGTCTCGCTCTGTTGCCAGCCTGGAGTGCAGTGGCACGATCTCGGCTCACTGCAACCTCTGACTCCCTGGTATAAGTGATTCTCCTGCCTCAGCCTCCCGGGTAGCTGGGATTACAGGCACATGCCACCACGCCCAGCTAATTTTTGTATTTTTAGTAGAGACGGTTTCACCATGTTGGCCAGGATGGTCTCACACTCTTGCCCTCATGATTCGCTTGCCTCGGCCTCCCAAAGTGCTGGGGTTACAGGCGTGAGCCATCGCACCTGGCCTCAGATTTTTTTTTTTTTTTTTTTTTTTTTTGAAACGGAGTCTCACTCTGTCGCCCAGGCTGGAGTGCAGTGATGCGATCTCGGCTCACTGCAAGCTCCGTCTCCCGGGTTCACGCCATTCTCCTGCCTCAGTCTCCCGAGTGGCTGGGACTACAGGCGCCTGCCACCACACCCGGCTAATTTTTGTGTATTTTCAGTAGAGACAGGGTTTCACTGTGTTAGCCAGGATGGTCTCGATCTCCTGACCTCGTGATCCGCCTGCCTCGGCCTCCCAAAGTGCTGGGATTACGGGCGTGAGCCACCGCGCCTGGCCGATGATTTTTTTAAATTAAAATATAGGTATGAGCTTTCAATATGAAGATGCTTTACTTGGCTGATATTCCCAGCAAATCTTGAAGTGATATATATGAAAATTAAGAGCCCTAAACAAATATAAATGAAAAGTTTTCTGCTAATTCACTTTTAAATTTTTACTTAAAAAATAAAACTATTAATGTTTCTCTTAACTAATATGGCAGTTAATGGTAGCATTATGCAGGCATTTTCCTGACTTAAAAAGTTTCATACATACAAGTAGAATGGTTGTTAATCTTGAGGATAGACCTCCTATTAACAAAAACAGTTACTTCAGATAGTTTGTTTGTAGTAGAATCATAAATCCTCAAGTGTATTTTATGTACCTTGCTTGATACCTTCAAATTATACTGCATGTTAATGTTCTAAGATTTGAAAAATAAAGTATGTTTATTTTAGATTGGGTATAGTTTCTAATGCATGCTGTATACTATTCATTTATCAGTGGTGTGCTTAGTATGTGAAAAGCATTTGAAAAACGGAAAGATTTCATTAAATTCTAGCAAGATGTTATGTTCAGATTAACTTTTCCAGTGCATGTTTCTCAAAGAAATAGTGGTAACAGGGTAAGTTAAGATGCATGCTAGTTTCATAGTTTTAAAAATTATAGTGCTTATGAATCTGTGTTCTTTTAGGAAGGTGCTGGATGGATGCTTTGGAGTTGGCTTTGAAATGTTCTAGTCTTCTTAAACGTACAATGATCAGAGAAGGAAAGGAACATGACCTGAGCGTTTCATCAGATAGCACACATGTGACTTTCTATGGCTTACTACGTGCTAACAATCTCCACAGTGGTGATAACTTCCAGTAAGTAGATACTGCCGCTGAGTTGGTAATGTTTCAGAGACCATACTGTTCACAAAATTAGTTGGCAGGCCTAGAATTTTAGTAGTGTATCTAGGACTGAAATTTGCATATCTTCCCATTATATGGCCTAGGAACCGGCTTAAAATTTGTTTAGCTGCTATAATCAGGTGTAGAAATGTATTTCCTTGATTCCAGCCAACGTGATTTACTTTATCTTTCCCAAATATAGCCATGCTAATTATTCACCTTGTCTGTGCATGATGTCCCTTCTATTAAGAATGATTTCTGCCTACTCCTCCTTACGCTTTTCTCCTGTCTATATATTCTTCAAGATCAGTCTCAAATATTACATCATGTGTGAAACCTTATAACTATGAGACATAATCTGTCTTTCTATAGAGTAACATGTTTTTAGTAATGGCACTGGACTTAACTCTACCTGGTATTTGTGAAATTCATTTATATTTCTGTTTGGAATGGAACTGTATCCTATTTGTGGTTTTATTCCCTGAAGCATTTATTGTAGTTAACACTAAAAAAGCATTTCTCCAAGGAAACTGGGCAGTAGTGCAAAGACTTTCTTGAGATTCAGGTCTTTTTGTTGCTTTGCAGGAAAAACATTAGACTTTTCTATTTCCTCCCTGTCCCCACCCCTTGGCTTCTGCTCTGTAACCACTTTCATCAGCATTGAGGTTGCTCTTCTCAAAGTTAGACTGCTATTCTCCTCTTCTTCATATTGCCTGATTTAGACATTTCTTCCCTATCATTTTGCTTGTTTCTTTTTTTTTTCTGTCTGTATTACTTTAAAAAATTTTTTAGAGCCAGGGACTCACTCTGTTGCCCAGGCTGCAGTGCAGTGGCACAATCATAGCTCACTGTAACCTGGAACTCCTGGGCTCAAGCCATCTTCCAGTCTCAACCTGCCCAGTAGTGAGAACTACAGGCCTGTATTACCACACTGGGCTGGCTGGCTGGCTTATCTATTTATTTATTTATTGAGACATAGTCTCACTATGTTGCCCAGGTTTTTTTTCTTTTCTTTTTTCCCCCACTCTCTTTAAAATCTCCATTACCTGACCTTTTATGTTATTTCTTTGCAGACCTACGATCTGGAGCTTTATCTTAATCCCAAGTACCTGGTGCCCGAATGAGATAGGATGGAATGGGGTGGGCTACTGATAGAGGAATGGGTATTTGTTGGAACCTCTTTCCAAGACTTTCCCCCTTTTGTACAGATTTTTTGCCCTAATCACTTTAAGTGAGAATAGGGTAGATTAAGCAAAACTTACTTGATTTTAGTCCATAGGTTAATTTCTTTCAGCTGAAATTTTCATTTTTAATTCTCTCTGGATTTTGGCTCAGGATTAAACCTTTCAGACGAATAGAATTTAATATAATTGTTTATCATTTACCATTTTCATATATTTTTCTTGGACTCATGTGAGGTGACTTTGGAAACCTTCTTATACAGGTGGAAAGTCATAATTTATTTGAGTTCAGTTGAGAATCTGATTATCTGGACCTGCATTTTTTCTTCATACCATAAGTGACAGTGAGATTGATGCAAGTGATGCTGTTTGAAAAACTAAGAAAAATATCTAACAAGAAGTCTAAACTCTTGGTTTTGGAGGATTTTAGCCCCAAGTGGTAGAGAGGCAAAGAGCTCAGAGTGTCATCTTTTTGCATTTCTCTAGGTTTTTAATTTTTCTATGCCTCTGTTTACTAATCTGTAAAATGAGAATAATAATACTACCTATCTCATAGGGTTATTTTGAAGATTAAGTGAATTAACACTATGTAAAACACTTAGAACACTGTCTGGCACATAGTAAATTCTCAATAAATGTTGTATATAATTATTATTTATGAATTGAGCATTCTTAACATCCTTGATTCTTCCTCCTAAAAATTCTTTCCCTTAAGGTTAAATGATAGTGAAATTGAACGACAACATTTTAAGGACCAAGATATGTATTCTGATAAATCTGATAAAGAAAATGATCAAGAACATGATGAGTCTGATAATGAGGTGATGGGGAAAAGTGAAGAAAGTGACACAGATACATCAGAAAGACAAGATGACTCATATATCGAACCTGAGCCTGTTGAGCCTTTAAAGGAGACTACCTACACTGAACAGAGCCATGAAGAACTTGGAGAGGTAAAAGTCTGCTATTTTTAGAGGTTCTGGATTTTCATATTCTTGGGAATTCTTAAATGAAATTGAAGATATTATTTGCTTGATCTATTGCCTATTTTTCTGTGATAGAATGTGATATTTTAAAAATTGCATACATATGAAATATATTGGGATTTACAAACAACTAAACACATATACTCACATAAATACCAATATATTCTATTAAATTTAAAGTTTACATTTTCTTCAAGCTTGATTTTGAAGTAGGATATTGCTTGATGTCATTGCCAGGTGCAAAGTTGCAAGGAAACGTGAGTTTATAACTTTGTTATTGCCAGTGCATCATAGAAGTAAATGTAGTATAAAATAATAGGCTATAATATTTTTGTAGTGGATCTCTTGTATATATTGTTCACTTTGATGTCTTTTTCAGCTACCCTTTTTTACCTAAGTTTTATAGCTATAGATTTTATTATTATTTTTTGTTTCCACATTTAAAGAATGCTTGGAGTAGTCCTGAGAAGAGTTCATATTTTCAACATTAGCTGGCTTGTTTACATATCTGTCTGAAATAAATATAATGTTTTGGTAATTTTCATTAATTGATAAAGGCAGGTGAGGCTTCTCAAACAGAAACTGTATCTGAAGAAAACAAAAGCCTTATCTGGACACTATTGAAACAAGTCCGTCCTGGCATGGACCTATCCAAGGTGGTTCTGCCTACATTTATTTTGGAACCCCGTTCTTTCCTGGATAAACTTTCAGATTACTACTATCATGCAGATTTCCTATCTGAGTAAGTAGATTCTTATTTCTTAAAATAGACAATACTTCATGATTTTAGAAATTCTCAAGAATGCTATTTTCAATTATCGTTTGTTTCCAAAATCAGGCTCTAATGAGACATCACTCTCTGTTCTCTACCACTTCTGTGGTTGACCCTTAGTAAGAAGCATGTTTGATACTTTGCTATAATGTTGCCATTTATGAAGTTAAATTGAGATATCATAAGCTCGAGGAAAACAAGAATTCTACCCTTTACTCAACAACACTGCCGTTATAGGCTCCTTAACCTCAGTTCACTAACCTAACAGAGAGAGAGAGGTGATTGGCATCATTTGTTCTCCTCTACAAAAACACTTGTTCAGTCCCATCCTGGGGCATCTGTGTTTGCTCATACTTGTCTGTCTGCATGCTTGTGAGGTATGTACGGCTTACCAGAACTAGAATGCCCTGCCAGTTGCTAGCTTTTGGAACAAATCCTTATTTTCTTTGCTTTTCTGAAGCCGCCAGCTGATCCTGGGTGTAATTTTGAAGAAGGCACACCTAAAGGAGGCAGAGGAGGTGCTATCCACCTCTGTCCCAGCAATTTCTTGGAAAACCAGTAAACTTTGCAAGGAACAGCAACTTTGTGTCCATGCTTCCAATTCTTACCTGATGCCCCTATTCCAGCAATAATGGTGTTTCAAGGCACTGTGCTTTCTGTGCCACTGATATCTGGCCCTGCGACCTAATTTTTAGAATCTTTATCAAGACTTATTTTCGGTTTTTGTCTATAAATGGCATGAGCGAACATTGAAAAAAATAAGCTGAGTCAAAAAATAATTGGTAAACTGGGAAATTTTTGCAAATTTCATCGTAGACAAAATGTTAACCTCCCTAAAAAAAGCTCTTAAAAATTGAATGAAAATGATTCTATAGAAAAGGAAACTTACAGAAAAAGGAGTGGAAGAAATTACTGGGCAGTTGGAAAATGAAGAAATAGGAACAGTCCTTAAACATGTAAAAACCTCATGCAAAATAAGGAAAATGTACATTTGAATTATAGTAAGTTATTGTTGTTTATCCACCACATTGACAAAAAGTCAAAAAGCTTTTATATCCTCGTTCTAATATCTTCTGCACTTTTGTCGGTCTAGAAATTCATTTCTCTCAGAATGTAAGGCAAATTCCTGTGAATCACAAGATTTTCTTGAGAGATGCCCCCTGTCTCAAATAGAAAGATTGTACTTTTCTGGCATTACACACTGTTGCCAAGATTCTGTTGGCAATCAGGGACTATCATACACTACCGTGGGCAGTGCAGACTAGCACAGCACCCTGAAGGTAATCTGGCAGTATTTACCAAAAGTATAGATGCATTCATCATTTGATCCACTAATCTCACTTCTCGGAATAACTCCTACAGATATAATGCCACATATACAGAATGGCATATATACAAGATTGTTGCAGCAGGGTTTGTAATAATAAAACATTAGATATAACTCCAGTGTCCAGCACAGTGTACTGGTTAAACAGTGTGTGATACATCCACCCATATAAGGAAGAATTCCATAAACTGATCTGTAGGGACCTCCAGAATTGTGTGTGAAAAAAGCAAGGTGTACAGAAGAGTATGTATAGTTTGCAACCCTTTTTTAAGAAAAGCAAGACTGTTTATTTATATATGCTTGTTTATGCCTAAAGAAAACTTAAAAGGAAGCTTTTTTAAAAAGTTACCTATAGAGGGTAAGTAGGAACAGTGTGGAGAGACGGGGCAGTAACAAGACATGTGTACCTCTTTATATTGCTTTGACTTTTGAACTATATATATTTAATTTTAAAATAAAATTGCATAGTAAGGGAATTTAAACCAAGATGGAAAGAGAGCAATCAGAGGGTTGTTACTCCAGAAAAGCACAAGCTTTCAACTTAGCACCATTGTCAATAAGCCTAGGTCTGTGCTCTTCTGTCTCACATCTCATCTTAAAAAATCACCACATTGGACTGTCAGACATGCTTGTGAAACGTAAATGCCTTTTTGTAAATAAGGGCATAGTAGCTACATTACAAACAGAAAACAACAATAACAAAATCAACTTCTCAGTAAAATTTACTTCAGACATACACAATCAGGTTTTTGCAACGATTGCAACAAAAGCAGAATTGTATGGAGGGCAGCTGAGTCATGGCTCCTACAAATTTCTTCTTTAAAATAAAAATTACTCTTTGATTATCCATTATTCTGGTTGAGTTTTTATTAATTCTGGAAAATCAGTTGATAGCACACAAGAGCAGGTTGAAGAATAAAAATAGGTTAAAACCTTCCGTATTGATTTAATTATTTTGGCTCTGCATCATATTTGTAATTTGAAACTTCTGTGTTTTGTACTAAGGACTGCATACCCATAAAATCCTATATTTAGATAGGTACTTTGCACAAAAGAGGCTATCGTCAACCTATGTCCTCCCCTCCATGTACTACAGCATCCACCAGTTTACCATTGATCTCCTCTAACATCAACAACTGAGAATGGACTCAACCAAGTAAATATTGGTCCTTCAGTGACATGTGAGGCTGAAGACTTCTAACAAAATTGTTAATGAGGCTGCTTGGCCACTGCCTAACATTGCAAATGCTAGAAATCACACAGTGCCTGAATCCAAAATCCATGTTTATTTTTTTCAATCACAATTTTCACAGAGCCCCTAACAACATCTCAGGTTCTGCAGAATACCAATTCAGAAACCTTGGTTTGGAGAGTTTCCAAAAACTACTTTAGCGAAGACCCAGGCAGTGTATCAAAGAATAGGAAAATGGGGGAAAATGTGACCAGGTTAAGAAAAACAGAAATTGATTTACATGGTTGAAAATTGATTACATGGTTGTTTTGTCATCCATTTAAAATAAGAATTATGTTTTCCAATCATGTTTCATACTCGGTTATTGGTTAATAAATGTGAGAGAGAATTTGTGATACATTTTTTAAAATTTTTGTTTACCGTTTTGTGTTTTAGGGCAGCTCTTGAAGAAAATCCTTATTTCCGTTTGAAGAAAGTAGTGAAATGGTATTTGTCAGGATTCTATAAAAAGCCAAAGGTAATAATGTTTGTTTACATTTTATTGTCTTTAGTGTTTTATGAATTCTTTATATTTTATGTAATCTGTAGATTGTGTGTTAACAGTTACATTACTGGGCTTCTTTGACGTAGCAAAATTGCAAAATACCTGATCATTTAGACATGTATTATGATTGAAGTCATTTAATTTTATTTAATGTAAATTTTATTTACTTTGAAATTTTATAAGGACGGTTCCCAGATGGTAGAGTTAAACCCATTTTGACTAGTTTAAACTATTTTGAATCCTTTGTATTTGTAATTTGAAATTGCTTTTTTTTTTTTTTACCAGGGACTGAAGAAACCTTATAATCCTATACTTGGCGAGACTTTCCGTTGTTTATGGATTCATCCCAGAACAAACAGCAAAACTTTTTATATTGCTGAACAGGTATTAGAAATGCATGTATGGAAACAAAACTGATCTGGAAGTTATTGGAATATTTTTATAGAAAATATTTACCCAGTAAACTCAATATTATTTAGCCTTTCTTATTTCTGAACATTTGGTAAACATTTAACCTTTTAATATTAAATACTACTAAAGTACTACTAAATATATTCATAGGTACTATTATTACAGTCATGGAATCCTTTGACCAAAAATAAATCTTTATTTTTCCTTTGCTATGCCCCCTGCCCTTTTTTTAATTTTTTTTTTTGGCTGAGCTCATATTTCCTAAACAACTTTTGATCATGCTCAAAATTATTCAGTGGTGTGGCATTCATTTGTCTGGCATTCAAAGTCCTTTATATCTTTTCCAAATTTATCTCAAATTAATACCTTTCTAGTTCTCCACAGTAGTCAAACCTGTGCAGTTCATGACTAGGTAACCTGATCTAGCACTTTCTTTCCTCATTTTTAAATTTAATTCTCACACTCCAGTATTTCTTCTTAGCTATTCTTTATCTAAACAAACCCTGACCCGCTTATTCTTCATGATGCACATGACTGCAGCTCCCAGTGATTTTTCCCTTCTCAAACTTCTGTATTGTTTTTTGTGATTATCCATTAAGCTCTTATTTTAACATTTGTATCGTTTACCTTTTTACAGAATATTTATTTTCCTAATTGAATTGTTAGCTTCTTTAATTCCCTCTTCTCCCCTATGATACCTCTCTTTTTGTTGTATACAGACAGAAAATATTTTAATTTTTAAACTTTCATTAATTTGAACTCATATACATCCATAATCATGATTTTCAGTCTTCTGTCTGCATAAACTTGAGGAATACGACATTCTCTTTCAATAACAGTGGCTCCTTATTATGGTAATTCTCACTTTGAGTGTAAGGAGAATGAAAAGACCATGTGTTCTTTGAAAAACCTTCTTCTCCTAGAGGTTTTGATAACCCCCTCAAGTCAAAACCACTTATCTATATTAATTTTTTAAAACTCAATGATTTAATTCTTCATGAAATTAAGAAGCTTGAAATGCTGATTTTAGTTTGTCTCATGTAAGAGAACATTAGAAGTAAATATATTGTTGAAGGCATTAGATTATTAAATAACATGTTTTTTGTTTTTGTTTCCTATAGTCATTCAGTAATCCATATGAAGACTAATCACTGTATTAGTTATCCATTGCTGTCTAAAAAATTAGTGCCAAAACTGAGTTAAAGCAGTATTTATTATCTTATATGATGAGGTACAGGAATCTGAGAGCTGCTTAGTTGGGTGGTTCCTGCTCAGGATTTCTAATGAGCTTGCAGTCAAACTGTCAGCCAGCTTTGCAGTCATCTACAGGCTTGACTGGGCTGGAAGATTCACGTCCAGGTTCATCACCTGGCTGTTGACAGAAGAGCTCAGTTCCTCACCACGTAGCCCTCTCTGTAGGGTTTTTCACAATCTCAAAGCTGGCTTTTCAGAACTAATGATTGAGAGATAGGCAGAGAGACAGCCCCCAGCATGGAAGGTGCTTTGTAACCTAATCTCAGAAATTACATAGTGTCACTTCCACACAAACCAACTTCAGTACAATATAAGAGGGGCCTATGTGACTACCAGGAGGGTGGGTCTCATTAGGAGACAGGAGGCTGGTTACTATAACCATCAATATTTAATTTTTACTACTTATTAAATGTTTTTTCTTACTCATTATAAGACTTGAACTTTTGATAATGGCACAATAATATGCTTATCTTTTTATATTTTATATAAACATGTTTTTATATTTTATATATGCATGTTTTTCTTATGTTTAATAGGTGTCCCATCATCCACCAATATCTGCCTTTTATGTTAGTAATCGAAAAGATGGATTTTGCCTTAGCGGTAGTATCCTGGCTAAGTCTAAGTTTTATGGTGAGTTTTCCCGTCCCAACTTGCACCCTCTCCTGGGAGGTATTATTTTCTGGTGAGCTTTTATTTAGGCAGTGTCATGGGCTATTTTCAACAAGGAGTTTGTCATTTTAAGTATCATCTTTCCTTGAATAATGGCTTTTTTCTGCCCACTCATAAATAAAGGTGTGGCTTATGTATTCATCACATATATGTGAATATATCACAAACATTTCTTATGAAAAGACAGAATGATTGCCCATTATAGCCCTTTAGTGCATAAAGTGTTTCTTTTGCCTTTAGTCTGGCCAGTTTTTTGTGTTTCATTTCAGTGTATCTAAGGGATTAGTCTTTCTATTTTAGTCTTTGAACAGAGAGGAAGAATCCAAGTATGGTTACGATACCTGGCCCAGGGTCAGTCAGTAAATATATTTAACTTTGGACTAAATAACATACCAAAAAAACTGTTTGCAAGTACAAGGGAAAATAGAGAAATGGTTATAGTAGGAAACATTAATATAAAAACTTTGATAGTTCAAACAAATCATTGCCAAAGCTATATACCAGTAAAACATATCTAACCTTAAAATGCTTTTATATAGTTTTAAAAAATATTTAAATGAAGAAGAACAATTAAATTTCAACCAAAGAATTTTAAACCTGAGTGAAAAAAATCATTATGATAAAAAAGGAAAAATAAAGTATGTAAACAGAAATCCAAGGTCTGGTTACCTGAGCGTGTGGTGAGCCATAGTTCAGTCTGCAACAGGGATATCTAAGAGTAGTTTTTGATCAGGAACGTGGTGTGTATTGTTATATTTCTTCAAGGTGTCTTTTATTTCCCTTGATGTTCGTTTTGGTTTGGTTTTGGGTTTTTTTTTTTTTAACCTTGTTTTGTTTAAGATGGTGATTGCTTGTTTTTTTCCCCTTAAGTTTATCTATATTTCATATTTGATATATTTCTTACCTACTTCACCTTTCATCCCTCCATTCTTCTACCCTGACTATAGTATAAATGGCTTTTCTGAGTGTGTGTTCTACCCTTATAGAAATTTTTATTGAGTACGAGGTGCATAGCTCACTTTCTGGGATTACTTCATCAGTGGGCCTTTTTTCTGTGTTATAGTACAATTTATATACATCAGAGCTATCTGTTCCTTTATAATTTGAAAGAATCTATTAAATCCAGAATGAATTTAAGATCGTCAGAATTGGTAAACATATGGGTAAATTCAAAAGACATTTTTTCTTATTTTTTCCTTTTAATACATGTAACCATTCAAAACAGAAATGTCAGCATTATCTTGTGAGTTTTATAACATATGCAGATTTAACACATGTAACTACAGTACACAGCCCTGGAAGAGAATGGACCTAGAGATAGCAAAATTTTCTATTCTATATAAAGTGGTCAAAGATTAACTGTGAGTGCAATGGCACAATCTCGGCTCACTGCAACCTCTGCCTCCCGGGTTCAAGCTATTCTCCTGCCTCAGCCTCCCAAGTACCTGGGATTACAGGCACCCACCACCACACCCAGCTGATTTTTGTATTTTTAGTAGAGATGGGGTTTCACCATGTTGGTCAGGCTGGTCTCGAACTCCTGACCTCAAGTGATCCACCCGCCTCAGCCTCCCAAAGTGCTGGGGTTACAGGCGTGAGCCACTGCACCCAGCCGACTGTGACATTTTAAAGATTAATATTGTAATCCCTAAAGCAGTGGTTCTCCTCAGGAGACATTTGGCAATGTCTGAAGACATTTTGGGTTCTCACAGTTGGGAGATCCAGTAGGTAGATGCCAGGAATGCTGCTAAACATCCTGCAATGCACAGAACAACCCCTTACAACAAATAATTATCCAGTCCCCTAAATGTCAGTAGTGCTACCATTGAGAAGCCCTACACTAGAGCAAACACACACACACACAAAGAAAAATCGCCACCAAAAAGTATAGGTAAAAAATCAGTAAGAAAATTAAAATGAAATTCTTTAAAAAATTTAAACAATAATTTAAATAATGTATAAAAGAAACAGGAAAGCCCAATCAAGGAACAAAAATCAGAGGGGACAGATAGAAAACACATAGCAAAATGATAGACTAAAACCCAATAATATGATTGTATCAGTCTTAATGGCCCAAATAATCTCATTTAAAGACAGTGATTATCAGATTAGCTAAAACAGCAAGGACCAACATACCTTAAATGTAGACACACAAATAGGCTGAAAGTAAATGGAAAGTAGGCCGCGCATGGTGGCTCAGGCATGTAATCCCAGCACTTTGGGAGACCAAGGTGGGTGGATCACCTGAGGTCAGGAGTTCAATACTAGCCAGGCCAAAATGGTGAAACCCTGTCTCTACTAAAAATACAAAAATTAGCTGGGCATGGTGGTGTACACCTGTAATCCCAGCTACTTGGAGTGCTAAGGCAGGAGAATCACTTGAACCCGGGAGGCAGAGGTTGCAATGAGCTGAGATCATGCCACTGCACTCCAGCCTGGGCAACAAGAGCAAGACTCTGTCTCAAGAAAGGAAAAAAAAAAAAAGAAAGTAAATGGAAAGTAAAAGTTAAAAGCTAAACTATGCAAGTATTAAGTACAAGTAGGGTTAAGTGAGTATATTAATAAAATAGATTTCAAAACAAAAAGTGTTAATAGAGATAAAGAACATTTCATAATGAAATAAAAAGGTTCAGTACGTCAGGATAACATAATAATCATAAATGCCTGTGTATCTAATCACAGAACTTCAATGAAGCAAAAATAGACAGAATTAAAAGAGATAGAAATTTGAAATGGACAAATTTCTTAAGAGACACAAATTACCACAGCTGACCCAAGAAGTGGTGTAAAATTGTAATAGCTTTATATCAGATAAATTGATTTAGTAATGTAAAATATTTCTTCAAGGATATACTCCAGGCCCAGATGTCTTGAGTTCTTCTAAAGATTTAAGGCAGAAATAACAGTTCTACACAATTTTTGGCATAAAATAGAAGAAGAAAAAACACTCCTCAGATCATTTTATGAGGCCAGGATTATCCTGATTCCCCAAACCAGAGATTACAAGAAAATAAACTACAGATCTAATATCCTTATACATGTAAAAATTCTTAAGTAGTAACAAATCAACAGATAGGGAGAATAATATATGGACATATAAATAAAGGTATCATGATCAGTATATTAAAAGAATAATATGATGAAATGGATTTTATCTCAGGAATACAAGGTTGGTTTACCATCTGATAAACAATGTAATTTACCATATTAATAGAATAACAGAGAAGAAAAGTGTGATTTCGATAGATATGGAAAAATGATTTGACAGAATTCAACACCTATTTATTTCTTAGTCCTCAAGGAACTAGGACTAGATTAAAGGCATCTATGAAAAATATATAGCCAACTTCATACTTTTAAGGTGAAAATTGAATAATTTCTACCTAAGATCAAGAACAAGGCAAGGATGTTTACTCTCATTACTTCTATACAAAATTGTATTAGAGGTCCTAGCCAATGCAGTAGGCAAATTAAAGGGAAAAATAGCATACAGATTGAAAGGAAGAAGATAAGCTATTTATATACCAGATTACATAGAAAATCTTCAAGAATATACAAAAAAAGCTCATACAACTAATAAGTGAATTTAGTAAGGTCTCAAGATGCATGGTCAAAAAAGAAAAATCAGTTGTATTTCTATATACTAGAAATGAATACTTGCAGAGGGTTTTTTTTTTTTTTTTTTTGGGACAGTGTCTCACTATGTTGCTGGTCTCAAACTCCTGAGCTCAAGGGATCCTCTCACCTCAGCCTCCTGAGTAGCTGGGATTACAGGCACACATCACCATGCCTGGCTCAGAATGAAATTTAAAAACAACTCCAATTATAATAGCATCCAAATAATGTATTTAAAAATAAATTTAATAAAAGATGTGTAAGTCGTGTATACTGAAGACTAAAACATTGCTGAGGAAAATTAAAGAAGATCCAAATAAATGGATAGATAGACTATGTTTATATATTGAGATATTTAATAGTGTTAAGATAATAGAGCTCCCTTAATTGAGCCATAGACTCAGTGCAATCCTAATCATAATCTAAGCAGGCTTTTTTGAAGATATTGGCAAGTTGGCTCTCAAATTACGTTGAAAAGTCAAGGACCCAAAACAGCCAAACAATTTTGAAAAAGAACAAGAAAGGTCTTTCACTGCCTGATTTTAGAATAAAGCTAAGGTAATCATTACAGTGTGGAATTGACGTAATGGTAGATGTATAAATTAATGGGATGCAATAGAGTTCAGATGTAGACCTGTACACATGGTCAAATGTTTTTTGACATGGGAGAAATGATTGTCCATAGTTAAACATACATTTACCATGAACTCAGAAATTCCACTCCTAGGTATTTGCCCATGAAAAATGAAAATAGATGTCTACATAAAGACTTGTACGTAAATGTTCTTAAGTATACACAACATTATTCATAACAATCCAGGACTAAACACAACTTAAGGACCATCAACTAGTAAGGAAATAATCACAACTACAGAATGCTAACTAGCAATAAAAAGGAATAGAATTCTTATACAACAATGTGGATGAACCTGAAAGACATTGTGCTAATTGAAGGAAGTAAAACACAGCAAGCTACATATTCTATAATGCCATCTGTACAGAATTCTAGAATAGGTAAAGCCAGTGATTTAAAATGCACCATTGGTGTCCTGGGGCTAAGGGAAAGGATTGACTGCTCAGGGGCAAGGAGGAACTTTTTGGGGATAATGGGAAGTTCTATATCTTGATTGTGGTGGTGGTTATATGACTCTGCAATTTCCAAAACTCAAATTTCACACTTAAAATGGGTTAGTTACTGTATGTAAATTTATACTTCAGTAAAGCTGAGAATAGAAGGAGAGAAAATGCATACAGGAGAAAACTTAGAAGAAATTACCATAGTATTTTATCGTTGACTGCATTTTGGTGCTTTATATATATTTTTTATTTTTCTAAATTGTCTATAGGATTAATTATAAGCATTTAAAGCTTGAGATTTGTAAGTAATGTGACTTACAGCTAAAAAATAATGGTTTTATTCAAAAAAGAAAATTAGGCTATACAGTGAAACAGTGTTTTATTAAGATTAAGTATTCTACATGTTTTCTCATTTTCTTGTAACTCTCATAAAACAGGCCGGGTGCAGTGGCTCATGCCTGTAATCCCAGCACTTTGGGAGGCCGAGGTGGGCAGATCACCCAAGGTGGGCAGATCACCCAAGGTCAGGAGTTAAAATCAGCTTGGCCAACATGGGGAAACCCTGTCTCTACTACAAATATAAAAATTAGCTGGGTATGGTGGTGCACGCCTGTAATCCCAGCCACTCAGGAGGCTGAGACAGGAGAATTGCTGAACCCTGGAGGTGGAGATTACAGTGAGTCGAGATCACTCCACTGCACTCCAGCCTGGGCAACAGAGTGACAGAGACTCCATCTCAAAAAAAAAAGCACATAACTGTATCTTTTAAAAGTAGTCATTATGTAAAAATGAGAATATGGATGAAATATGTTTTGGATATAAGGTAATGAATACATGTTTGGGCACATTGAGATTGAGACATTTTTAAGACTTTCTACTGTAGATGTCTGGTAGGTGTTCTAAATATATTTTGTTTGTTTTGAATTGGTTGAATAAGTTTTGTGAAATTTAATAAACAACATTTTATTTCAGGAAACTCATTATCTGCAATATTAGAGGGAGAAGCACGGTTAACTTTCTTGAATAGAGGTGAAGATTATGTAATGACAATGCCATACGCTCATTGTAAAGGTAAATATTTTCTATACTTGAATTAGATATTAAGCTTTCCTTTTAAGTAAATGTATGTAGCTGTGATTTGTTATGCTTTGTGATTGATGGAGTCAGACTTACATTTTGTTTGAAAGCATCCTTGGATTACAGATATTTAAGATTATTGCTATCATTTGCTGAATATTTCTGCGGTGAATTAATTCACCTGTAATGGACTCTTTGTGATGTGTACTTTAGTCAGAAGAGACTGATTTATCATAATGGAATTTCTTTGCACTTGCCTGATGTGCAAATTTTCAAATTTGACAAAACCGTCTATTATTTCAGAATCTGTAAAGATGATTTTCATCTTTTTGCACCACCATGCTTTTTTAAAATTTTAATTTACTATTTTTTAATGTACCAAGTTTTTTAAAGATTTTTCTCACCCTCATTTGGCAATTTCTTAATGTATTATGCTTTTTGCCCCATTATTTAAAATACAGATAAGGGTATTACATAATAATTGTCATCTATAACATTACAACATGCTAGGCACCCAACTGTTCAATGCATTTATTTAATCATTTCAGCAGCTCCTATAAAATAGAAATATTATTATTCCCTTTTTTAGAAGAGGAAAAATGAAGCACAGAGAGGTTAATATGCCTGAGATCATACAGCTAAAATGTGGCAAGTCAGGATCTGAACCCAGGTGGTTTACCTCTGCACTCTGAACTTTCAACTATTTTGCATCAGTTTAGTGTGGTCATGATGTGTATCCTCCCTTCCAACCGGTTTCTTAAAATCTTAAAAATACCTTTTTTGGTAATTATCCTCTATTTTGGGAACTGATTCATGAAAACATATAAATTATTCAATATGAAAAGTGGGCAAAGGATACGAACAGACACTTTTCAAAAGAAGACATTTATGTGACCAACATGAAAAAAAGCTCATTATCACTGATCATTAGAGAAATGCAAATCAAACCACAATGAGATAGCATCTCATGCCAGTTAGAATGGTGATCATTAAAAAGTCAGGAAATAACAGATGCTGGAGAGGATGTGCAGAAATAGGAACAATTTTACACTGTTGGTGGGAGTGTAAATTAGTTCAGCTATTGTGGAAGACGGTGTGGCTATCCCTCAAGGATCTAGAACTAGAAATACCATTTGACCCAGCAATCACATTACTGGGTATATACCCAAAGGGTTATACATTATTCTGCTATAAAGACACATGTACACGTATGTTTATTGCAGCACTATTCACAATAGCAAAGACTTGGGACCAACCCAAATGCCCATCAGTGATAAACTGGATAAAGAAAATGTGGCACATACACACCATGGAACACTATGCAGCCATAAAAAAGGATGAGTTTATGTCCTTTGCAGGGACATGGATGAAGCTGGAAACCATCATTCTCAGCAAACTAACACAGAAACAGAAAACCAAACACCACATGATCTCACTCATAAGTGGGAGTTGAACAATGAGAACACATGGGCACAGGGAGGGGAACATCATACACTGAGACCTATTGGGAGGTGGGGGGCAAGGGGAGGGATAGCATTAGGAGAAATACCTAATGTAGATGATGGGTTGATAGGTGCAGCAAACCACCATGGCACGTGTATACCTATATAACAAAGCTTCACGTTCTGCACATGTATCCCAGAACACACAGTTGAGAAATCTCGGAGGGCTGAATCTTATCGAAGGCCAACCCAGCATGTACAAAAGAGCCTAACTTATGGCCTTAGTCTAGATTATTCTTAGAGCTTCAAGTATAGTTCTTGAAGTAAGCATGGAGTGAAATATCTTTAATTATGAATTGATAAGAACACATATTTTTAAATTTTCTATCATTTAGAAAAAATAAAACTATATTCCATGTAGATATCCATGCGCTACTTAGCTTACAATAGGGAAAATTTTTTATAGCAATGCATGGAAAAAGAAAAGAAGTTATAACCACTTGCGAATGAGCATATGAAATGATTTTTATAAGATGTTTCACCCTGTATGTTTTCTAAGGTGTGTTCCCCCAAGTCACTAGTCTCACAAATTGTTTTGTAAAATAAGAGTTCCATAGCCAAATAAATTTGAGAAACATTGCATAGTCTGTTCCCCTCTCAAAAGATAATATTGTACATTGCATGTTAAAGGCTGCCTTAGCATCTTAGACCAACAGCAGATACACACACAACCTGTTTAGCTTTGTTAAACCCAGAGTTTCCCCAGCTTTTAACCACAGAACTTATTTTGTAGTTTTTTGTTTGCTTTGCTTATGCATTTGATTCTTGTTATTTGCAGTAGTTATGTTACATAAAGTCACCACTGAGTTAGCAAATACTGAGCCATTGCTCCTGGGGGAGTATGAGATTGGATTCCTGTGAGCCTCTTGTGCCAACATTTTCATCAGCCAGTTAATCAGTACATAACCTTGTTTTATATATGCTTCTATTTAAAGAAACCTGATGTAATTATAACATTAATTACATATTATTGATTCATTAACATTGAACTAACAGCCAACAGAACTAAAGCCTAAACGTAGCTTTTAACACACATTTTCCCTGTAAAATACAGTATAGCTTTCTTGCACTTAGGAACACTAGACAGCACTGCAACACTACATGTGGGTCCATTTTAAACAGCAAAACCACCAGTGAAAAGCACAAAATGTGAAAACATGATACTAAATACACTGCAAAAAGGACACTTTTTTTTTTTTTTTAAAACAATGTGGGAGCTGAACCAAGAGTGTTTGCCTTGCTCAGCCTCAGCTCAGAATGTGTGCATTGGGTGACTCAAATTTTTCGCTACTCTGCACATGTCTCCAAATGACTACAGAAGTACTGTGGGTATTGATATTTTACTGAGTAGGTGAATTTACAGATAGGGAATCTGCACATAATGTGAATCAGGTGTTATCTATTTATATCCTACAGAACCAACTGTATGTCTATATTATAGTTTTTCATTTGAGTGGGACAGAGTGATTTTGAATTATGTTTCTCCTAAAAGATTAGATTACTAAACTGTTTATCGTGAGCCATATACTATACTATACTCTTTTCAATTTTTTGTCAAATCTTTTTCCTTTAGGAATTCTTTATGGTACAATGACACTGGAGCTTGGTGGAACAGTCAATATTACATGTCAAAAAACTGGATACAGTGCAATACTTGAATTTAAACTAAAGGTTAGTAGACAATACAGTAGGTATCACCTAGCTAAAGGAGAGCCATACAATAAATATTGAATAAAGGGCACCATGTATTTCCTAATTAAGGACTAAATGTAAGAACACAATTTATGTCATGTCAAGGATAAGTGCATCTAAGGAATAAGGGCAAGGCTGGGTGAGTATCTTCGGGTAGCCTAAGATAGCAGCCTTGGAAAATTCAAATTAACACAAAAGACATTTTTTGTTTTTCATCTTAATTAATAAAACTGTGGGTATTATATAGAAGATGAGATTTAAGAAGTGATTGGATAGAAATTTCTTAGTAAATTAAAGGATTGTTTTTACCAAATACCAGAAGATATGTGTCATCTTGCAGTCTAGCTGTGTAAACCAAGGCACAGTTGTATTAGTCACTATTTCTGTGTAATAAGTTACTCTAAAACTCACAGACTTAATAACTATGTGCTGTTCCTCATGAGTTCTGTGAGTCAAAAATTTGGACAGGGTATACTGGGGATAGCTTATCTCTGCTTCATAATGTCTGGGGTCTCAGAAAGACTTTGTAGGCCATGGGTGACTCAATAGTTAGGGACTGTAATCACCTGAAGGCTTATCACTTACATATCTGATACCTGGTCTAGGGTGACCGAAGGACTAGAACTGCTAATCTGAGCACCTGTATACATGGCCTTTCCATGTGACTTGATTTCCTGACAGCATGACAGCCTCAAAGTAGACTTCTTACTTGGCAGTTGAGGGTTTCAAAGTGCAAGTGCCCCAGTGAGCAAGACAGAAACTGCATTTCCTTTCCATGACCTAGCCTGAGAAGCCAAATTATATCACTTCCACCATCTTCTATTATTTGGAGAATTGTAAGACCACCCAAATTCAAGGAGAAGAAATATAGACCCCACTTCTCATTGGGAGAGTGGCAAGGTCTCCTTGAGGAAGAGTATGTGGGCTGAAGGGGAGAGGGTACGTATTGTCAAGGCCATCTTTGGAAATTTTTGTCTGCCTCAAAATGAAAGGGAAATTTGAGAACTTAATGTGAATTAATTGTTCTTGAACAATAGTATATTCAGATAAAAATATTTCTGTAAACTAGTAATATTTATTACTAAATTGCTGCTATGTTGATATCCAGCTGATAAGCAATTTTGCTCTGATAAAAAAGACCTCTTAAGTATTATTTGATGCAATGTCTTTTATTTTATTTTTCTTTCACCTTGGCAAAATTTTCCTTGTATGGTGATGATAATGTTTGAAGATCATGATGAATGAGTTCTTAAGTATATATGATGCCTTTAAGTATGACATTGGAGCATCAAAATTTTGTCTCTAAGGAGAGATGTTAGTAAGGCATTATAGTAACTCAGTGTATTCCTTCTAATTTTATTTTTTGGAGGCTTTTTTTGGCTATATATTTTACTTTTGTTTGTTTGTTTTTTAAGGAAGGGGTGTTATTTATTTCAATGGATCGTTAATTCCATTAGGTTTATTGAGTTGTTATTGCTTAAGATAACGTCACATTGATAGGGCACAGTCTTGACAGGGGAGGACACAGGATTTGAGCATACATGGAACATGAGTCAGTTATATCAGGGTGATCTTTCTTAATATGTTTATTTTGATTTAATATAGTCTGCTTGTTTTATCCTATTTTTTTCATAGCAGCAATTCAGATTTCTTATTAAACATTTCTAACTAAAATTTGAGTCAGTATTTTTTTACTGCTTGTGCATTCAATAGTACTGTAACTATACAAGCAATTTTTGTTGGGTTTTTTGTTTTGGTTTTACATTATATGTAAATATAAGTGAAAAGTAAAATGTTTAACATTTTCTCGTTTAAAAGCCATTCCTAGGGAGTAGTGACTGTGTTAATCAAATATCAGGGAAACTTAAACTGGGAAAAGAAGTCCTAGCTACTTTGGAAGGTCATTGGGTAAGTATTTTGTATATGAGCTTTACAAAAAGAATTTTATTCTGTGGGAAAAAAAAAATCACATTTAAAATTTAAAACTTATTCCGTTGCTGAAAACATCACTATTTAACATAAGCTTCATCTTAATAGCAGATATTTTGGTGGTGTTCTGTTATCAACAGTAGTTAATTTTGTGTAATATTTTATTTCCAAAACTTAAAATCAGTAGAAATAGCTAACACTTATATATGACTTACTGCATTATTTAAGAATGTTACTCATATTAACTGATTTAATATTTATAACATATAACGCTATGAGGTGAGTATATAGGTGCCATGCCCATTTTATTATTGTTTATTATTGTCCCCATTTTACAGAAGAGGACACTGAGGCACAGAGAGTTCACATAATTTGCTCAAAGTAGGTAGTGGAACAAGAATTAAAGCCCAGGAACCCTGGCCCCAGGACTGTGCTTTTATGCACAGCACTCTACTCACATAGAAGAAAGAGGCATAGTTCCAATTAGAGTTATATTCCTTTCAGTGGAACATGGAAAGGATATAGTGGTGTGTGAGAGCAATGGCTTTTATTTACTTCTCTGCTAACCTAAATTCATATTTATGTAATTTTGTTAAGAGACGCTTAAATGAATAAAAAGAATCATGGTACTGCATGGATATACCATACTATGAGCACTGAGTATATGCTCCTTTCTGCATGCAGTAAGCAGAAAATGTTGAGAAATATGAGAAAGTGAAGTTAGGGACTTTGTTAAGTGGCCACATACACTCTGAAAATTTTTTTTAATTGCCTTAAATCTGAGAGTCTTCTGGAAAAAAGATAAAGCAGCAGTCATTTTTAAAAAATGAAATTTCTGTCTGGGTGGGGTGGCTCACACCTATAATTCCAGCACTTTGGGAAGCTCAGGAGTTTGAGATCAGCCTGGGTGACATAACAAGACCTCTTCTCTACTAAACATAAAAATAAAAAAATTAGATGGGCATGATGGCACATGCCTGTCCCAGCTACTCAGGAAGCTAAGGCAGGAAGATTGCTTGAGCCTGGGAGGTGGAAGCTGCAGTGAGCCATGATTGTGCTACTGCCCTCCAGCCTGGGTGAGAAAGCAAGACCCTGTCTCAGACAGATAGATAAGATAGAGATGAGAGTGAGAGATGACAGAGAGAGAGAGAAGGAGAAGGATGGTTAAACAGGTAGATAAATTAGATAGGTAAAATAGATTAGATAGATAAGGTAGATAGCACCGCTGCACTCCAGCCTACACAAGAGAGCAAGACCGTCCATGTCTTAGATAGAAAGATTATTCGATAGAGATAGACCTCAAATTTTTAATGCTAGTAAAGGCTCTTTCAGAGGGATGTGTGTGTGTGTATGTTTGAGTATATTGAATCCATGGATAGTCAACAGCATCTCATTGTAGCTGCAACAAATACTATGCTCTACTTGGACAGTTTGGAGATGGTTATTGAGGCTTTGCATGTAATGTTTGAAATTTATTAAGTAAAACTTATGAAATTTCACAAACTGGATATTCAACCAAATTCTTTTTAATTAACTAGTATTACGTAGTCAATCTTAATGTTTTTATAAAAATGATAAGAAACTTGGAGTTTTTGGAAAAGTGCTAGTTATATTTGTTTTAAAAATGCTTTTAACTGGAGGATTAACCAGAAGAAATTATCACCGTCATATTACTATACTATATAATTGCCTTCTAAGTATAATTCTTTACATTAATTTTGAATTTTTTTAAATATAGGATAGTGAAGTTTTTATTACTGATAAAAAGACTGATAATTCAGAGGTTTTCTGGAATCCAACACCTGACATTAAGCAATGGAGATTAATAAGGCACACTGTAAAATTTGAAGAACAGGGAGATTTTGAATCAGAGAAGTAAGTATACTGTTTTACAGCTAACTTCATGAGGATCAGAGAGTAGTTTTTCAATTCCTTAATGATATGGTCATTTTGTCACCTTCTGTCATATCTTAATTCAGCAAAATAGTTTATCATTTGTGGAAGTGACAGTATTCTGTTTTTGTGTATATGAATGTCAAATATAATATAAATCGTCTTGCTTTTCTGTAGCTCAAAACTACTCATTTTTTTCTTTCTCAATTGTTCCAGCACCTTAAAAAAAAAGAAAGAAAGAACGTTTTTGTTTAAATAAGATTACAGGACTAATTAATGACTCTTAGTTTCTACCTGGCAACAGTTTTCTAACCTGATTTAAGCATTAGAACTCTAGGTAAAGGGAGTGGTGCAGAATCTACTTCTGTTCCATTCTCTGATACAAAAGTAAAGTTACTGGATGGACTGGCTTCTATAGGATTTATTAGTTGGGTAATAACTAAGGCTATCATTTCTGTTCTTAAGTCATGAACTTCTTGCTAGATGGCTTATATTTTTGAATCAGAAATATTGTATACACATTCCCTATTTTATTGTTGTTATATCTTTGTGTTAAGAGAAAGAGACTTATGTATAAGAGATATTTTGCTAGGCACTTAGTACTTATTATGCAACTTTGTCCTCCCTACATGTTTGCACATACATATCATTCTCTGTCATGGGAATTCAAGTCTGTGTACCTTCCCTTCTACACTCAAATTTGAGGTTGTCAAAGATGGAAGAATGTATATGTACCAGTTCTAAAAATTCTGTCTCAGCCATAACCATTTGATGTTCTTTTTCCAGAGATAAGCTTTGCCAAGGCATACATATGATAATTTGTGAGAGTATATAATTCAGCATATTTGAAGATGAGGAAATGAGACTTAGGATAAATAACTTTAAGTGCACCAGCTAAGAAGTGGCAGCTCTAGGACTTGACTCATGTCTATCTGATCCCAAAGCCTTTTCTGGTTTTAACATGCTGCCTTTCTAGATGGGTAGGATATAGATATACTTTTATTTAACAGAAGAAAGAACTAGTAGGGGAAATCATTTTACCTCAGTAGTCTTTTCTGTTAAACCAGTGGTTCTCAACACTAGCAATACATTAAAATATTTTGGGGAAACATTTAAAAAATATATCAATACTTGCGCCTGACCCCAGAGATTCTGATTATAAAAATTCTCTGATAATTCATGGATCCAAACTTCAGAAGCACTGCATTACATTAATGGATCTTTATGAAGCCAGTGAATCTTAAACAGTGTAAGACGCATCTAGGAAGCTTGCTAAAAGCGTAGATTCCTGAGCTTTACCTTCATTACATCCTATCATCTTGAGCCAGCAACACTTCAACACTTACTATCATGAGTTTAAGAGTCTATGTAGTAAGTTTCTCTTGCCAAGTAAAAAAAATTAGTCTCCACTTATGAACAGGTCTCTCTCTACTCAAGGGACTGGATTTATATCTTGACTCATTTCTAAGCCTATGAGCATAAGTGTTGTCAAAGCCAGAAATTCATGTGAGCATTATTTTCTCTACAAGGGATTTGAGGCCTATTCTATATAGATTTTATTTTCTGTTACATTTTTAATACTTTTAATATTTTCGCACATGTATTAGACTCTGGCAACGGGTAACTCGAGCCATAAATGCCAAAGACCAAACTGAAGCTACCCAAGAGAAGTATGTTTTGGAAGAAGCTCAAAGACAAGCTGCCAGGGATCGGAAAACAAAAAATGAAGAGTGGTCTTGCAAATTATTTGAACTTGATCCACTCACAGGAGAATGGCATTACAAGTTTGCAGAGTAAGTAACTTAAAATAGTTTATTTCAAACAATGTATTAGCATGGTTTGTTGCCTTTATTTCTAGAATATTTGTTGCTGGAGTAGTTTTTATTTAATTAAACCATGTATATTAGTGTGAGATTTTTAAACTTGGTTTTGCATTCATTATAAGCTTGACTCTATGATAGAAGTTAGCCTATAAAATAAGTTGAGGATCTGAAGATTAGGTATGGGGAAATCTCATTATTAGAACTATGTATATAATTATTAATAAAATTGGATCATAGAATAGAAAGTTTTAAAGTTCTTTGTTTAGTCATTGAGCAAATGGTTTTTTTTTTTTTCATTTATGTAGTACCCGACCATGGGACCCACTTAATGATATGATACAGTTTGAAAAAGATGGTGTTATTCAGACCAAAGTGAAACATCGTACTCCAATGGTATGTAATAAAAAACTAGGTACACTAGGTATATAAATCTGTTAAATCTTTAGTATCTATAGCAACCAACTAAAATTTGGTTTCAAAATTTAAAATTTTGGGTGAGCAAAATACGCAGCTCTGAACTCTTCTTACCCCAAAGAAACATCAGAAAACAAGCAAAAACTGTCAACTCAATTTGCCAGAACTCTGGAAAACAGTCAGAGGTGTTCAGCAACCAAGTGAACACTGGTCAAGAAAGTGCAAAGAGAGGAAAGCTTTGTGGCATTTTACCTGCCCTTGCCCCAGGTCCATCCCAGTGCAGTAGCAGTCTTGAAGAGCCCCTGCGTTGCCAGTGTAAGTCCCTAGTTCCAGAAGGAGCAGAGTGGACCTCATACACAATTGTGTATGTCTGTCCTAACCTGTCAGAATACTACCTGAAGGACTTACACAGGCACTCATCTCTGAGAAAATCAATAAAGACAAATTATTCAAGGGAGCCAAACAAATTCTGGAGCTGAAAAGTATAACAAAAATGAAAATTCACTAGAGGTATTCAAAAGCAGATATAAGCAAGCATAAGACAGGATCAGGAAACTTAGAGATAAGACCATAAAAATTATCCAGTCTGAGGAGGAGAAAGAAAAATGAATGAAGTGAGGTGAACAGAGCCTAAAGGACCCATGGGACACCATCAAGTGGGTTATCATTGCATTATGGGAGTTCCACAAAGAGAAGACAGAAAAATGAATGAAGAATATTTAAGGAAAGAAGACCCCCCAATCCCCAAATTTGGTGGAAGATATAAATCTACAAATTCAAGAAGCTCAACAAACTCCAAGTAGGATGATCTCAGAGAGACCCACACCACAACAAACTGTCAAAAGCCAAAGAGAGTCTTAAAATCAGCAGAGAGAAACAACTTATCACATACACTGGGGATCATCCATAGGATTAACAACCGATATCTTATAGAAACCATGGGGGCCAGAAGGCAATGAGATGACATATTTAAAGTGGTAGAAGCAAAAACTTGTCAATCAAGAATTCTGTATCTGGCAAAACTGTCATTCGAAAATGGGGGAGAAATTAAGACATTCCCAGATAAAAGCTGAGGGAGTTCATTACCACTAGACCTGCCCTACAAAAAAATGCTAAGGTAAATATGTAATAAAATGAAACTCAAAGCTGTATGAAGAAATAAAGATTTTTAGTAAATAGTTGGACAAATATAAAAGCTAGTGCTATTGTAATTTTAGTTTGTAAGTCCACTTTTTATTTCCTGCAGGACTTAAAAAATAAATGAATGAAAAATAATTTAATTACATATCTTTGTTATCAGACATACAATGTGTAAAGATATAGTTCATTACAACATAAAAGCAGAGAGGATGGAGCTGTATAGGAGGAAAGTTTTTATGTACTACTGAAGTTAAGTTGGTATCAACTCAAACTAGATTGTTGTAGAGGTAGGTGTAAATGTCATCCCCATAGTAACCACAAATGAAATATCTAAAAAAATACACACAAAAGAAAATGAGAAGGGAATTGAAACAGTTTACACAGGAAGCAAACACAAAAGCAGGCAGTAATGGAGTAAATAAGAAACAAAAAACGTATATGACGTATAGAAAATAGCAAAATCAGAGGTAAGTTCTTATCAGTAGTTATTTTAAAATGTAAATAGATTAAACTCTCCGAGCAAAAGACAGATTGTAAAAATTGATTAAAATAAACATGACCCAACTATTTGCTGTGTACAAGAGATTCACTTTAGATCCATAGGCAGAAATAGAGAAAAATGAAAGTTTGGAAAAAAATATTATGTGCAAATAGTAACCAAAGGAAAAATGAGGTGGCCAATAGTAACCAAAGGAAAACTGAGGTGGTTATACTGTCAGACTAAATAGACTTTAAGTCAAAAATTGTTACAAGAGACAAAAAGAACATGGCGTATTGATAAAAGGGTCAATTCATACACACACACACACACACACACACACACCAATCAACAAAGCCCCAAAATATACAAAGCAAACTGACAGAATTGGAAGATAGAAACAGCTCTATAACAATAGATGAAGAATTCAGTAAACTACTTTTAATAATGGGTAGAACCTCTAGATAGAAGATCAATAAGGAGGAAAGGGATTAACTTGAACCACACTGTAAACCAACTTGACCTAGCAGACACATAGAACAATCCACCCAACCATGGAAGAATACACATTCTTCTCAAGTGTACGTGGAACATTCTCCAGGATAGACCATATGTTATGCCATATGACGTGTCTCAGTAAATCCCAGCTACTCAGTTGGTTGAGGCATGAGAATCATGTGAACCTGGGAGACGGAGGTTGTAGTGAGCCAAGATCACACCATTGCACTCCAGCCTGGGCAACAGAGTGAGACTTTGTCTCAGAAACAAACAAAACAAAACAAAACAAACTCAATGGGTCAAAGAAAAACACAAGGGAAATTAGATAATACTTAGACAAGTGAAAACAAATATATAGTATAACAAAACTTACGAGATGCAGCAAAGGTAAGGAAAATATATATCTGTGAACATCTACATTAAGAGAGATCTCAAATCAATAACCTTACTTCATTCCGTGAGAAACTGGAAAAAGAAGAAAAAACTAAACCCAAAGCTAGCAGAAGAAGAAAATAATGAAGATTAGAGTACAGATAAACAAAATAGAGAGTAGGAAAAAAATAGAATTTGTGAAACCAAACCAAAAGTTGCTCTTTGATAAAAATCAACAAAATCGATAAACCATCAGCTAGGCTAAGGAAGCAAGAAAGAAGACACAAATGACTAAAATCAGAAATTAAAGTGGGGATGTTACTACCAATCATAAAGAAATAGGATTATGAGAGAATGCTATGAATAATTGTATGCCAACAAATCCCTAGAAACTCACAAATTACATAAACTGACTCAAAAAGAAATAGAAAATCTCAATAGAGCTGTAACAATAAAGAGATTGAATCAGTAACCAAAAACCTCCAAAGAAAAATTCAAGTTCAGGTGGCTGCACTGGTGAATTCTACAAAACTTTAAAGAACAAGCACAAATCCTTCTCAAACTCTAAAAAATAGAAGAGATGGGAACATTTCCTAACTTATTCTCTGAGGCTAACATTACCCTAATGCCAAAGCCAGATAAAGACATCACAAGAAAATAAAGTTACAAACAATAACCTTTATAAATAAGATTCATACATCCTTAACAAAATACTAGCAAACAAAATTCAGTAGCATATTAGAAAGATTATACACCATGACCAAGTGGAATTTATTCCAGAAATGCAAGGTTGGTTCCACGTAAGAAAATCAATGTAATATATCACATTAAGAGGGGGGAAAATCACATGGTCATTTCAATTGGCATAGAAAAGGCATTTGACAAAATCCATCACCCTTTCATAAACAAAAGAAAGACCTCATAAATCTAGGAAGAGAAGAGACTTCCTCAACATCATTAAGGGCATTTATGAAAAACCCACAAATAGTAGATTCAGTGGTGACAGGTTGAAAACCTTCCCCGTAACATCAGGAACAAGACAAACATTCCCACTTTCACCACTCCTACTTACCATTGTACTGGAAGTTCTAGCCAGAGCAAGAAAAAAAAGAGAAGTCATCAAAATTGGAAACAAGTAAAACTATCTCTAATTAACAGGTGACATTATCCTATATATAGAAAATCCCAAAGAATCCATAGAAAGCTACTGGAGCTAATGAACTTAAGAAAAATTGCAGGGTATAAGATCAACACACAAAAATCAGTTGTGTTTCTAACAGTGAACACTTGAAATTAAGAAAGCAATTCAATAATAGCATCTAAAAGAACAAATTTAACCAAGAAGCTGGAAGACTTCTACAGTGAAAACTATAAAACATTGCTAAAGAAATTAAAGAACATCTAAATAAAGGGAAAGACACCTCATGTTCTCAGGTAGAAAAGGTTAATATTGTTAAGATTTTGGCCAGGCGCAGTGGCTCATGCCTGTAACCTCAGCACTTTGGGAGGCCGAGGCGGAGGGACTGCTTGAGACCAGACTGGACAACATGGCAAAACTCTGTCTCTACAAAAAATAGAAAAATCAGCTGGGCATGGTGGCACACGCCTGTAGTCTCAGCTACTCGGGAAGCTGAGATGGGAGGATCACGTGAGCCCAGAGAGGTCAAGTGTAGTGACAGCACTACTATACTCCAGCCTGGGAGACAGAGTGAGACCCTGTCTCAAAAAAATAAGGACGTAACTGTACTACTAAAAGCAACCTACAGATTCGCCACAATCCATGTCAATATTCCAAGCCTATTTTTTTGCAAAAATGGGAAAGCAGATTTTCAAATTCACATGGAATTGCAAGGGGCCACAAATAGTCAAAACAATTTTGAAAAAGAAGTATAAAGAGGACTCTCACTTTTCGATTTCAAAACTTACTATAAAGCTATAGTAATCAAAGGAACGTGGTACTTATGTAAGAACAGGCATATTGACCAATGGAGTAGAATTGAGTGTCTAAATGTCAAGCCAGACATCCATGGTCAATTAATTAATTTATTTATTTTAATTATACTTTAAGTTCTGGGATACAAGCACAGAATGTGCAGGTTTGTTACATAGGTAGACACGTGCCATGGTGGTTTGCTGCACCCATCAACCTGTCATCTACATTAGGTATTTCTCCTAATGCTATCCCTCCCCTAGCCTCCCACCCACCGACAGGTCCCGGTGTGTGATGTTCCCCTGCCTGTGTCCATGTGTTGTCATTGTTCAGCTCCCACTTATGAGTAAGAACATGCGGTATTTGGTTTTCTGTTCCTGTGTTAGTTTGCTGAGAATGATGGTTTCCAGCTTCATCCATGTCCCTGCAAAGGACATTAAGTCATCCTTTTTTATGGCTGCATAGTATTCCATGGTGTATATATGCCAGATTTTCTTTATCCAATCTATCACTGATGGGCATTTGGGTTGGTTCCAAGTCTTTGCTATTGTGAATAGTGCCAAAATAAACATACGTGTGCATGTGTCTTTATAGTAGAATGATTTATAATCCTTCGGTATATACCCAGTAATGGGATCACTGGGTCAAATGTTATTTCCAGTTCTAGATCCTTGAGGAATCACCACACTGTCTTCCACAATGGTTGAACTAATTTACCCTCCCACCAACAGTGTAAAAGTGTTCCTATTTCTCCACATCCTCTCCAGCATCTGTTGTTTCCTGACTTTTTAATAATTGCCATTCTGACTGGCATGAGACGGTATCTCATTGTGGTTTTGATTTGCATTGCTCTAAGGACCAGTGATTATTTTTTTTCATGTGTTTGTTGGCTGCATAAATGTCTTCTTTTGAAAAGTGTCTGTTCATATCCTTTGCCCACTTTTTGATGGGGTTGTTTTTTTCTCGTAAATTTGTTTAAGTTCCTTGTAGATTCTGGATATTAGCCTTTGTCAGATGGATAGATGGCAAACATTTTCTCCCATTCTGTAGGTTGCCTGTTCACTCTGATGACAGACTCTTTTGCTGTGCAGAAGCTCTTTAGTTTAATTAGATCCCATTTGTCAATTTTGGCTTTTGTTGCCATTGCTTTTGGTGTTTTAGTCATGAAGTCTTTGCCCATGCCTGTGTCCTGAATGGCATTTCCTAGGTTTTCTTCTGCGTTTTTATGGTTTTAGGTCTTATGTTTAAGTCTTTAATCCATCTTGAGTTAATTTTTGTATAAGGTGTAAGGAAGGAAACCAGTTTCAGTTTTCTGCATATGGCTAGCCAGTTTTCCCAACCCTGTTTATTAAATAGGGAATCCTTTCCCCATTGTTAGTTTGTGTCAGGTTTGTCCAAGATCAGATGGTTGTAGATGTGTGGCGTTATTTCTGAGGCCTCTGTTCTGTTCCATCGGTCTATATATCTGTTTTGGTTACTGTAGCCTTGTAGTATAGTTTGAAATCAGGTAGCATGATGCCTCCAGCTTTGTTCGTTTTGCTTAGGATTGTCTTGGCTATATGGGCTCTTTTTTGGTTCCATGTGAAATTTAAAGTAGTTTTTTCTAATTCTGTGAAGAAAGTCAGTGGTAGCTTGAGGGGTATAGCACTGAATCTGTAAATTACTTATGGCCGTATGGCCATTTTCACGATATTGATTCTTCCTATCCATGAGGATGGAATGTTTTTCCATTTGTTTGTGTCCTCTCTTATTTCCCTGAGTAGTGGTTTGTAGTTATCCTTGAACAGGTCCTTCACATCCCTTGTAAGTTGTATTCCCAGGTATTTTATTCTCTTTGTAGCAATTGTGAATGGGAGTTCACTCATGATTTGGCTCTCTGTCTATTATTGGTGTATAAGAATGCTTGTGATTTTTGCACATTGATTTTTTTGTATCCTGAGACTTTGCTGAAGTTGCTTATCAGCTTAAGGAGATTTTGGGCTGAGACGATGGGGTTTTCTAAATATACAGTCATGTCATCTGCAAACAGAGACAATTTGACTTCCTCTTCTCCTATTTGAATACCCTCTATTTCTTTCTCTTGCCTGATTGCCCTGGCCAGAACTTCCAGTACTATGTTGAATAGGAGTGGTGAGAGAGGGCATCCTTGTCTTGTGCTGGTTTTCAAAGAGAATGCTTCCAGCTTTTGCCCACTCAGTATGATATCGGCTGTGGGTTTGTCATAAATAGCTCTTATTATTTTGAGATACGTTCCATAGATAACTACTTTATTGAGAGTTTTTAGCATGAAGGGTGTTGAATTTTATTAAAGGCCTTTTCGGCATCTGTTGAGATAATCATGTGGTTTTTGTCATTGGTTCTGTTTATGTGATGGATTACGTTTATTGATTTGCATATGTTGAACCCGCCTTGCATCCCAAGGATGAAACCGACTTGATCTTGGTGGATCAGCTTTTTGATGTGCTGGATTCGGTTTGACGGTATTTTATTGAGGATTTTTGCATCGATGTTCATCAGGAATATTGGCCTGAAATTTTTTTTGTTGTGTCTCTGCCTTGTTATTTTAAATAAGCTTCTCACTAGTGTTCATCAGTCTCCAATTTGAACCTACTCTAGAAATGTGGATTTCTATTTTAAATGTTACAAAATTTTAAGCCTCCAGCATTTGAAGTAGGAGTATGGGCCAAACCTGCCTGCTTATTACATATTATAGAAATTTTAATTTTAAATACCTGAATAAGATTTTGCAAAATTATTTCAAGAAATAAGTAATTGAGAATACTTCTTGTTACAATGCTGAACAAGAAAGAACGAGTTGTTGACCACTGGTTCTCTGTTTTTCCAAGCATGAACATTACCTTGTGATAGGGTTTGGCTCTATGTTCCCATCCAAATCTCATCTTGAATTGTACTCCCATAATTTCCACATGCTGTGGGAGGGACCCGGAGGGAGATAATTTGAATCAAGGGGGTGGTTTCCCCCATGCTGTTCTCATGGTAGTGAATAAGTCTCATGAGATCTGCTGGTTTTATCAGGGGTTTCCGCTTTTGCATCTTTCTCATTCTCTTTTGCTGCTGCCATGTAAGAAAGGGGGCCTTTCACCCTCTGCCATGATTATAGACCTCCCAAGTCATGTGGAACTGAACATCAAATTTAAGCCTCCTTTTCTTCCCATCTCGGGTATGTCTTTATCAGCAGCGTAAATATGGACTAATATAGTAAATTAGAGTGGGATGCTGCTGAAAAGATACCCAGAAATGTGGAAGCGACTTTGGAACTGGGTATCAGGCAGAGGTTGCAACAGTTTGGAGGGCTCAGAAGAAGACAGGAAAATGTGGGAAAGTTTGGAACCTCCTAGAGACTTGTTGACTGGCTTTGACAAAAATGTTGATAGTGATGTGAAAAACAAGGTCCAGGCTGAGGTGGTCTCAGATGGAGATGAGGAACTTGTTGGGAACTGGAGCAAAGGTGACTCTTGTTATGCTTTAGCAAAGAGGCTGGTGGCATTTTGTCCCTGACATAGAGATTTGTGGAACTTTGAACCTGAAGGAGATGATTTAGGGTATCTGGCAGAAGAAATTTCTAAGCAGCAAGACATTGAAGAGGTGACTTGGGTGCTGTTAAAAGCAGTCTGTTTTAAAAGGGAAACAGAACATAGAAGTTTGGAAAATTTGCAGCCTGACGATGCAGTAGAAAAGAAAAACCCATTTTTTCAGGAGAAATTCAGCTGGCTGCAGAAATTTGCATTAGTAACAAGGAGCCGAATGTTAATCCCCAAGAAAATGGGGAAAATGTCTCCAGGGCATGTCACAGGTCTTCATGGCAGCCCCACCCTTCACCAACCTGGAAGCCTAGGAGGAAAAAATGGTTTCATGGGCTGGGCCCAGGGTTCCCATGCTGTGTGCAGCCTAGGGACTTGGTGCCCTACGTCCCAGCCGCTTCAGCCATTGCTAAAAGGGGCCAAGTTACAGCTCTGCCCATGGTTTCAGAGGGTGCAAGCCCCAAACCTTGGCAGCTTCCACATGGTGTTGAGCCTGTGGTGCACAGAAGTCAAGAATTGAGGTTTGGGAACCTCCACCTCGATTTCAGAAGATGTATGGAAACGCCTGGATACCCAGGAAAAAGATTGCTGCAGGGGCACGGCCCTCATGAAGAACCTCTGCTAGCACAGTGCAGAAGGGAAATCTGGGGTCGGAGCCCCCCACAGAGTCCCTACTGGGGCACTGCCTAGTGGAGCTGTGAGAAGCGGGCCACCGTCCTCTAGACCCCAGAATGGTAGATCCACCAACAGCTTGCACTGTGCACCTGGAAAAGCCGCAGACACTCAGCGCCAGCCCATGAAAGCAGCCAGGAGGGGATACCCTGCAGAGCCACAAGGGTGGAGCTGCCCAAGACTATGGGAACCTACCTCTTGCATCAGCATGATCTGGATATGAAACGTGGAGTCAAAGGAGATCATTTTGGAGCTTTAAAATTTTGGAGCTTTAAAATTTGACTGCCCCACTGGATCTCAGACTTGCATGGGCCCTATGACCCCTTTGTTTCCAAATTTCTCCCATTTGGAACAGTTGTATTTACCCAATGCCTGTACCCCCATTGTATCTAGAAAGTAACTAGCTTGCTTTTCATTTTACAGGCTCATAGGCAGAAGGGACTTGCCTTGTCTCAGATGAGATTTTGGACTGTGGACTTTTGGGTTAATGCTGAAATGAATTAAGACTTTGGGGGACTGTTGGGAAGGCATGATTGGTTTTGAGATGTGAGGACATGAGATTTGGAGGGGCCAGGGTAGAATGATACGATTTGGCTCTGTGTCCTCACCCAAATCTCATCTTGAATTGTACTCCCATAATTCCCACGTGTTGTGGGAGGGACTTGGTGGGATCTCACCTTGAATTGTACTCCCATAATTACCACGTGTTGTGGGAGGGACTTAGTGGGAGATCATTTGAATCATAGGGGCAGTTTCCCCCATATTGTTCTCGTGGTAGTGAATAAGTCTCACGAGATCTGATGGTTTTATCAGAGGTTTCCACTTTTGCATCTTCCTCATTCTCTCTTGCTGCCACAATGTAAGAAGTGCCTTTTGCCATCTGCCATGATTTTGCGACCTCTGCAGACATGTGGAACCATAAGTCAAATTAAACCTCCTTTTCATCCCAGTCTCGGGAATGTCTTTATCAGGAGCATAAAAACTGACTAATACATCTTGTCTTTCTGATTCTAGTTTCTTCTCTTGCATTTAGGTTTTTAAGTTTAATACTGAACACCAAAATTACAAATCTATTAATAGGATAGAGTCCAAAGTTATTATTCTAAGGAAAATTTAGTCATAGTTGATGGTTTCATATACTTTTGAATCTTGTGCATCCACTTCAATCCTTTCAGTAAGTTTAAATAATGCTCTACAAAATAATGGTATCATTTTTATTTATTATAAGATACTTTCTGTACTACCCAGATGTGATTAAAAGTAAATAAACCGTTTTACTGGAAACCCAGCATTGTTCAGTGGGAATGTTTCTAACATTGGGAACAAAATAAATATGATTTATACACACTATTATTTAACATTCTATTATTTAACATTCTACTAGAGAATAATAATAGCTGGTGCAGTCAGAGGTAGGGGGATCTATATTCATATTTGTTTATGTATACATAATAATATCCCTGGATATAAACTAATAGTGATGGGTACCTATTTAGTGGGAGAGAGACTGGGTATACTCTTCATTGTGTATTTTACTTTTTGACATTTGTGCCAAAGTACTTCCTATTAAAATAAGATCATTTGATTGCATAAGTGCATCACATTTGTTAAATTTGAATTAGACTATTTCATCATTGTCTTTATTTCTGAATATCATGCCTATGTGCAGATAATTTTGACAATTGTACACAGTTGGTCTTTAGTCCAAAATACAGTGCAAATTCACAAAATAGTTATTTTTTTCTTTAGGTTAGCGTCCCCAAAATGAAACATAAGCCAACCAGGCAACAGAAGAAAGTAGCAAAAGGCTATTCCTCCCCAGAACCTGACATTCAAGACTCCTCTGGAAGTGAAGGTAAAAATATTTATTGCAGACTAATGAGAGTCTAACTTTTTAATTACTACACAATTTGATATGAATATGGTTTTTCATATTAACTCAAGTTATGTGAGTTTTGGTCGGGGCAGGGTTGAGATACAAAAGCAATTCTAGATCATAGATAAGTTGTGAGACCAGGACGCAAGGTAAAGAAACAGAAAATGAAAAAGGGGAGACATCTAAATAAAAACCACACTCTAGGCAGGGTGTGGTGGCTCATGCCTGTAATCCCAGTACTTTGGGACGCCGAGGTGGGCAGATCACTTGAGGCCAAAAGTTCAAGACCAGCCTGGCTAACATGGGGAAACCCCGTCTCTACTAAAAATATGAAAAAATTAGCCAGGTGCGGTGGTGCACACCTGTAATCCCAGCTACTTGGGAGGCTGAGACACGAGAATTGCTTGAACCCCGGAGATGGAAGATGCACTGAACCGAGATCACACTACTGCACTCCAGCCTGGGTGACAAAGTGAGACCCTGTCTCAAAAAAAAAAAAAAAAAAAAAAGAACCACACTCTAGTAGTAGCTACCTCTTATGCCTTGTTAACCTCTGAAAAATTGCTGATGGTTCCCTAGATTGAATTCAGAAGCATTTTTTGAGCTTTGAACTCAGTTCCATGCTTCAAAAATGTTTTTCATTTCCAGAATAAATTACTGTAGTGTTTGGAAGTGACAGACAATAAAAATATAAAACTTAGCAACTGCTAGCTTAAATTGTACTCCATTCTTATTCGAGTCAGATAATGTGTAAAGTATCTTGAACTACATTGAGATATAATCATGAAAGGATTAAAGTGATGTTTGTGACATGACAAAAAAAAAAAAACTTTAAGCCATAATCTCTACTGAGTTTACACTGAACTAGGGAGCTCATTTTAACCTATAAAGATAACACTAGAAGTGAATAAATGGTAGATTACTAAGAAATTAGATGACAAGTGATAAAGAGTTTAAAGGAGAGGGAGCTCAATTCAGTTTGAGGGAAAGTTCTTAGAATCCTGATGAATTATTAAGATTTCTAATGGATTATAGCAATCTAGGCTTGGAGAGTGGGGTAGGGGTAACATACTAGAGTAGTTAGAGGAATGAACCGAATAAAGGTTTAAAAGCAGGAGTCATGTGGCATACCAGTGTGTTAGAAGAGAGTATTGGTTGTATTGTTGTTATTCCCATTTTACGAGAAAAGAAACTGAGACACAAGTTAACCTGCCTAAGGTCACATACCCCATAAGTAGGTATATGTATGTTATATATGCAGATTTTTTGGCTCCTTAATTCACCCTGTCATCCACTTTACTATATTACTATAATGTATCAGCAGACATTTATTGAGTAATTAATTTGTGCCAGACTGTATGTTAAATACACCTTACAACAACCCTGTGAAGTCTGGTATTATTATCCCTATTTTTAAAATGAGAAAGCTGACACTTGCAGAGAGGTTAAGTAGGATCTGAACAAAAATGGAAAGGAAGGAATGCATATGTAGGGAATTTGGAAAAACATGTACAGCTTGCTGATTGGCAGTAAAAATTTGCAGAAGTGGTGTCGAAAGGGATTTAAAGTTTAGGTAACTAAACACTCACAATAAAAAATTGGAAAAAAGGGCTCAAGAAGCTGACTTCAGAGGTAGGCAAATGGGCAAGGAACAGAAGAGAGTAATACCTTCCTCAAGTTAATATGTATTTCTAATGAATTATTTCTGTTTTAATTAGTTAAAAAAACTGGTGCCATCCAAAATTCAACTAATGTGTAGTACTTTAAATATATTTGTAGTGTTCTAGTATTGCAATGATGTGTTTGAAACTTCAAAAGTGCAGAGTATTCATATTACTATGCTAATCTCTAGGCTACAAAAACAAATGCCCAGGAAAATTTTTATTACATGAGACACATTAAATTGAACTGTAGATTATTTTTATAGTTTCAACTTCATTCTAAATGTCTTTTTAGCTCAATCAGTAAAACCAAGTACAAGAAGAAAGAAAGGAATAGAACTGGGAGACATTCAGAGTTCCATCGAATCTATAAAACAAACACAGGAAGAAATTAAAAGGTAATAATATAATGACACTGACTATTCATTTGAGACCAAGGAGTAGTTAAGAATCCTGTTATATGGGAAATCATATGCAGACTTCATATTTTTATAACATTTAGCTAAGCTAAAATACAATGTTTAGCCTCTATCACCTGATGTTTGACACTTACGAAATTCCTCCAGCACTAAAATACTTGGGAAGGAAGGAGAGGTTGTTTTTTCTCTGTAAGGGTAGAATTGGAATCACTTTATTTTACTCCTATAGCATGCTAGGAATGTAGCTGGGTTGCATGTGGAGGTGGGATTGTTTCTGAGAAAGTCAGTTAACAAAGGCCTCTATAGTCCCCTCTGTGCATGGCTGTTATTTCATTGGAATGCATCAGTTGAAATATTGAAATACATCCATAACATTGGGTAAATATTTACTCCCTGAGCCCTTAAGTATTCCTCTTTGCAGTCCCAGACCCCGCCCCCCCCCACCCCTACATACCACCCCATGACCCAGCAACTAAAAATTATTAACATTAAATGCTCTGTGACTGTTTAATATCAAATTGTGGGCTCTATGCCAACATTTCTGGCAAATCATTACAAAATTTGTTGTTGCTTATTTTTATAGAAATATTATGGCTCTTCGAAATCATTTAGTTTCAAGCACACCGGCCACGGATTATTTTCTGCAACAAAAAGACTACTTCATCATTTTCCTCCTGATTTTGCTTCAAGTCATAATAAACTTCATGTTCAAGTAGAAGTTCTCTACCATTGAATCAGTGAACTAGAAAGATCTGATTTGGCCTGGGACCAGTGTTCAAGTTGGTTTGGTCTTTATTAAAAATCACAATATTCCGAAAACAAAAAAACCTAGGAGATAAATGTAGAGGTATTGACTTTTCGTATCTTTTATCTTCACACTGAAACAAGAGCTATCCTATTTGATTATTAAAGTGAGCTATGTGTTAAGTGCCAGGACATTTCTAGCTTTTGTGAGAATGTGTCTACATATGAGTATAATAAACCCACATGTATACACAATTGTCTCTTATGTACTCCTACCTGACAGTAGTCTTTGTATTCTATAGTATGTTCTGAGATATAATGTTAACATTGTTCATAACAAAAAATGCTATCAATCTTATAAATATATGTAATCTATTTTCTTCATAAAACAGGCACAAAAGTTTTATCAGTAAGGAATTACAGATTGAGAAATGATGGAATAATAGACATAATTAATTCAATACACTACTGTTAAAATCATTTGCAAAGCACTCAGCTCAATTATCTTCTTAGAAAGAAAGAAAAAGTATGAATGGTCAAAATGAATACATCGAGAGAGATAAATGGCAAATTGCTTTTTTAAAAGTTTACATAAGTTTTTTTTAACCCCTAGAATTTAATATTTGTAGATGCAGGTAAATATATATACTTACGTGTATATCAGTATAAAAACACTGGTGTGCAATTAATTGGATTGATTATAATACCACCTTAAGCACTTGCTGAAAAAAGTGTGGTCAAAATTGATTGCTGTCCTTTTGTCTTATTTTTGTTTTTCTTAAGTCAGCTGGTTCATAACATAGGCCAAATTCTAGAGATGTTTATAGAGCATTTGAAGTGCTGATAATTTATGTTTTTTCATTATGAAAACTTATTTTAGCTTTAGACTCCAGTGTGTTCAGTGAATAAGTAGAATATAAAAAAATATAACCAGTATTTTACTTCAAAAGCCAAAAAGAGGCAATAAGAAAAGACACTTTGTGGTGGCCTTTATGTGTGCATTAAAATTGGTTTCTGTAAAACGTGTAATAAGTTGAGTATCTACGAAGAGTATCAAGTTCTGAAGTTTAATTTTTTTATTATCCTCCTCTCTTCTTAGTAACTTCTTTCTGTGGCAAAACCACAATTCTTTAAGATTCCTATTGTTCAGGCTAAGGCAAATTTTTTTGTTTGTTTCTTCAGTTTAATATTTTGATTTTGTGTTTTTACGTAAATATTTATATTCCTTGAAAGCAATTTTTGCCAAGGTAGTTCAGTTTAGGAATATGTTGTTCTAAAATATGTCTTAGAATCCTGAAAGCATAGATTTTGAAATGTTTTTTTAATGAAAATGAAGGTCAGAGAGAATAATTGCCCTGACCACATTTGCCTTTCAGTAGGAGGAGGCTGTGAAATAGTAAAATTATAATCGTTTATGCCATGATAAATACAAGATTGGTAAATAAATACATTGATTGGTAAATTATGAGAATCAAAATGATAAAAAGAGCCTGCTTTTTTCCCTAACCAATATAGCTATCTTAAGTATCCTTAGGTTTCTGTGAAGAACCATTTCCCATGTTTTCTTGGCAAAATAATGCTGTATTCCATATGTACATGTGAAATGATGTTTTAAATTGATAAAAGCTTAAATAAGATCTACCTATACCCAGTATTTTCATGATATTAGAACAAATGGGTTTTTGGTTATATTTTATATTTGTCAATATAATTTTTGTATTCACATTCTGTTACACTCTGCCTATTCATTGATATATGATATTCTGTAAATATTGTACAATTTGATCTTTTTTATGGTTTAAATTAGTTAATTACATACAAATTGATTGGCTTATCACAAAAATCATTTCATCAGTAAACCTTGTTAACATTTTGTACTGGTGACCCACCTCTTAGGACTTTGGTCTTATCCACGTGTATGTTGTTTTCATTTGGTCCAAATAATATTTTATTTGTATGGGTATCTTCTAAGACTAAATAGGTAGTTGTGTTCTTTATTTTTAAAATTTCTTTTTAGAGCAAATGTTATGGGTTCTTACCCAAAGAGTCAAAAACTATTTCTTAAGAAAGAGCAGAGTTATTCATGACTGTTCTTTATACACTAAAAGCATGCATCTAATCTAATAGTCCTCTTATTATGCTTTTAGTTGTATGAGTCTCTTTCTATGAACTGAACACAAAACTCAGGAATTGGTGGCTTAATTTTAGATCAGTGCTTGTACTAGGCTTAGTTATATGAATCTTTATAACACATAATTACTAACTTTGTAGCCATATATGTAATTGACTTTGAATGTTATTTACCTGAAATTAATCTTCCTTCACACATGGACCGTAAACGGTTCCCAGTTGTCTGAGAGCCTCATGAGGGTTTCTAGGATTTATGACCTTATGACCAGTTTTTTTCATTTACCAAGATTTTATTTTCCTACATGAAAATTTAATTGAGTAATAATTATTCACATGTGCATTTTCTTTTTAGCTGTTAAATGTACTATGCCATCATCCACCATTTAGTAAAATGTAGCTGGCCCAGGACATGTAAAAAAAAAAAAAAAACAACAACAATAAATAGGGCATGTGAAATGTTAAGTTACAGCAATAGATATTTTATTTGTATTTCATGTTAGTACTTTTTTGTTTTATATCACTTATAAAGGTACAGTGTACTCTTTGTCACAGCTCAGTTGGTAACCGCATTCCATTGAAAAGTTGGCCTTGTAAAATACAACTCTCATTTAATATTCATGCTTTTGTGCCTTTAAGAAAATATTTTTTGTCATTTTTTGTGTTACAGAACTATAATGTGATTCAAGGTGTTTATAGGCTTGTCATAAAAGGGTCATTTCTGTGTGTTACTTTCTTTTTATATAGCTATAGTATATTTAAACAATAATACTATCTTTTATAGGGGTTTGTCTATTTACCTATTCTTTACTCAGACATTGATGTAGACTTGTCAGATTATTCTGAGTATTGTTAACAGTGCCTTTTCGATGGAATCACACTTTTTGGCTGTCACCTTGTGCCATATACACACAAAATTTTGTGGAAGGCAGTTTTAACTTTCTGAAGAATATCTGTCAAAATTTAAGAAAACAAATGTATAAAATTCCATTTTTTCCAGTGTTTAGCATTTCTAGTAAGCAGTGAGGTTGTTTGACATACAGTGATGATGGCATTATTGATAAGCCATACATGAGACTGCAGATTATATTGAATCATATTAAATGTACAGAAATAAAATATTAGATTTATATCAAATTTTCCAATTTGAACCAGTGGGGAAAATCCCACAGAAATCAGTAAGTTTACATTTCAATTTCTATCTTATTTGACTAAGTGGAAAGAGATTCTTTAAAATGTATAACCTGCCATTATGTAATTTGGTTTCATTTTATTCTACCTGTTGTGTGAGTTTAGTATATTTAATTTACTTTTTGTTACTCTTTACATACTGTTTATTTTTGTTAGTTTTTAATTGAAGATGGACTGTTGAAATTGTATAGGACCAGTGTCTTATTAATATGATTAATATATTTAGAAGAGCCACGTGAAACCCATGACAAAATGAATGTGAATATTCTTTCTAAAAATTTAGAAAATGTTATCTTTTTGCATTTATTATGTAAAACTGTTTTACAGTATCAAAATTTTTCACTTAAAGAAAAAAAATGCCATGAAACATTTGAACTGATGAGCCACAGAACTTCAGTTGAAATTTTTTTCACTTTTTAGCATGCTAAATATACATCTGAGTTTAAATGTTCTGTTTAATGGCCATTCATAAATTCAAGCACTACCACTGGTCAGTTTTGTGTGATAGAATAAAAATATGTTACCTGCAGTGTAAGTACAGCACACTGTCAAATTCTTTTCCTTAAGGTGCACAGTAAATGTACAGATAGTTATAGGCCACTGTTTTGTAATGTAGTACATTTCTAATCTATTATTCCTAACCTATTATAACTGTTTGCAGAAAGAAAAGAATTTTTCTAATAATCTGTAAAATTATGCTAACTTCTACAAGTAGGCTTCTAAATAAAATTTTTAAAAAGAGCAAACGGTGATCAAGTGACTTTTAATACAATATGATGACTAAATTATTGCTAATTTGTTTTAATCCCCCCTTTTGTGGGGATAGGGATAGCTGCAAAGGATGGCAAAGGGCTTGAAAGGGATTCAACAGTGAGAATCCCTGAAGTATGCTTTGCTTGGTGCCTTATATTCATTCTTCTCGAATCCTCTATGAGAACCTTAGGTGGACGTTAGCCAGATTTTATACATGAAGATGCTGAGGCTCAGAGAGGTTGAAAGTCTCCAAAAGCTGCGGAGTAAGAGTGGTAGCCGACTCTTACTTTAAGAGTAAAAGCACAAGTTTGAATCTGTATCTCCGTGGTACACTTAAATAGAACTCTAATAGCACTTCACTTCTAAATGTCAGGAATATAATCCACTGCTTGAATCTATATTGAGTAATGTAACCCCTTTGTTATGAGTAGCACCACAAAAAAACCCTACTATTAAACATATACGAAATCCATATGAAAGGGTTTTTTTTTCCCCCCTCAGATCACCTATTAGTCCATACTGAGTCAACATCAGATGAGTTCCGAGACATCATTCCTCTCTGGTTTTCCCCCACCCTCCTTTCTTCCCATTCTTGCTCTCTGCTCAGGGTCCAGTTGCTTCTGGCTGTCATTTGGTTTGGTTTTATTAATTGGGGAGAAAAAGATGGGAGGGCCTGCCGGTTCCTCCTATCTTGTTCATAGCAATAAGGATTAAGGAAAACGGCCCCTCATTGTCCAACCTCGTGAAACATCTACAAGATCATTTTCTTGCTAATACTGGCATGCTTCGACTCTAGATGATGTATGTTGTGCCATTATGCTAGTTGAATCTTCTGCATCTCACAAAATATCACTTGTGGGAATAATAAACCAGGAGAGTGGTGACCTACCACAGTAATTTGGTGGGTGCGTCAGAGGCATCTGAACCAGAGCAACTCCAGTAATTTGGTGGGTGCGTCAGAGGCATCTGAACCAGAGCAACTCCATCTTGAATAGGAGCTGGGTAAAATGAGGCTAAGATCTAGGCTGCATTCCCAGATGATTAAGGCATTCTAAGTCACAGGATGAGATAGGAGGTTGGCACAAGATACAGGTCATAAAGACCTTGCTGATAAAACAGGTTGCAGTAAAGAAGCCAGCCAAAACCCACCAAAACCAAGATGGCCACGAGAGTGACCTCTGGTTGTCCTCACTGCTATACTCCCACCAGCACCAAAGACAGTTTACAAATGCCATGGCAATGTCAGGAAGTTACCCTATATGGCCTAAAGAGGGGAGGCATAAATAATCCACTCCTTGTTTAGCATATCATCAAGAAATAACCATAAAAATCGGCAACCAGCAGCCCTTGGGGCTGCTTTGCCTATGGAGTAACCATTCTTTTATTCCTCTTTCTTAATAAACTTGCTTTCACTTTATGGACTCGTCCTGAATTCTTTCTTGCATGAGATCCAAGAACCCTCTCTTGGGGTCTGGATTGGGACCCTTTTCCTCTAACAGGTGTAATATAAATATCTGTTGAGTGCTAACTATGCCAGGCACTATGCAAAGTGTTTAGTGAACATTCTCCACCTACTCAAAACCTCTTGAGATTTTTATTTTGTATATGTTATCTCCACTGGTTTTTTTGGCGGGGATTGTTTTGTTTTGAGACAAGGTCTCGCTCTGTCGCCCAGGCTGGAGTGCAGTGGTGCAATCTTGGCTCACTGCAACCTCCCTTCCCGAGTTCAAATTATTCTCATACCTCAGCCTCCAGAGTAGCTGGGATTACAAGCATGCACCACCATGCCCAGCTAATTTTTGTATTTTTAGTAGAGACGGGATTTTGCTATGTTGGCCATGCTGGTCTTGAACTCTCGGCCTCCTGTGATCTCCCACCTCGGCCTCCCAAAGTCCTGGAATTACAGCCATGAGCCACTGCGGCAGGCCCATTGTTTTTAAAGATGAGAAAAGCAGAGATCAAAGAGGTTACTTGGTGAATGCCACAGGTAAGGAAATGACAGAGCAAATCCAGGTCTGAATCCAAAGCCCATGCTCTCAAGTGCCTGTGTTTTAGGCCAGGCAAGGTGGCTCATGCCTGTAATCCTAAAACTTTGGAAGGCCAAGTTGGGAGGATCACTTGAGGCCAGGAATTCAAGATCAGCCTGGGCAACACAGGGAGACCCTGTCTCTACTAAAAGAGAAAATAACCAGGCGTAGTGAGGCACAAAGCGACTTGAAGGCTAAGACAGGAGGATCACGAGCTCAGGAATGCGGAGCTGCAGTAAGCTATGATCTCGCCACTGCACTCCAGCCTGGGCGGCAGAGTGAAACTTCATCTCTTAAAAAACAAAAAAAATGTTATAAGAGACAGTATTTTCTGTCTTTGGGTTATATACAATAATCCTTGGCCATGTGTTTTAAAGCATACTGTTGATCACCGACGTGATTAATGGATTTAAATCTGCACAGCGGCTCATGCCTGTAATCCCAACACTCTGAAAGGCCGTGGCAGGTGGATCATTCAGGTCATGAGTTCGAGACCAGCCTGGTCAACATGGTGACATCCCCATCTCTACTAAAAATACAAATATTGGCGGGGCACAGTGGCGTATGCCTGTAATCCCAGCTACTTGAGAGGCTGAGGCACGGGAATCGCTTGAGCCCGGGAGGCGGAGGTTGCAGTCAGCCGAGATTGCGCCACTGCACTCCAGCCTGGGCGACAGAGCGGGAGTCCATCTCAAAAAATAGAGACTTCGCATCATTTCTGCTTAATATATTTGTGGTGTCTAGAGTTTTATTGTGATACCTGAGTCTAGGAAATGTGGTAAAGCCTCTGCAGCAGACATAAAGCCTGCAATTCATGGCTGTGGCCAGGCTCTCCTCACCTGTCCTGCATCTACAAATTATTTCCGTTATGGTAAGGAGAGCAACTCGTGGGGAATGTGGACAGGAACATGCGTGAATCCAAGGCAGAGGTTTTGCCCCGGAAAAAGCAGCTTCTGGCAGGGGATGAAAGCCAGCAGAGTTCCAACCGGGGTGCCCTCTCCTTCACGCAGGCCCCACTACCGTGTTGACTTAGGAAGAAAGTTTCTCGGGAGACTAAGGGATTTGGGGGCAGCGGACGCCACTGGAGGGAGATGAATTCACCTAGGGAGCCGGGGAGGGGCTTAGGGTTGCCGCTCCAGGCACAGCTGCTGGAAATCCTAGTCTGTTTTTTCTGCCTTCGCGTACAACGGGCCAGCTCACCCCACCTGGCAAAGCTGCAGGGCTTTTCCACCAGGCGGACAGAAGGGCAGCCCTCTCGCCCAACCAAGAAGCCGTGCTACCCCGGCTTCGACTCCTGGCTTCCGGGTTTTCTCCCCGCCTATTCCGTTTCCGGCCGTTCCCACCCCTGTTTTCGGTCGGCCCGGGTGTTCTGCAAGCTGGTCAAAAAGGGGAAGCGGCCCAGATATGTTAAGTTCTATGGCCGCTGCAGGGTCTGTGAAGGCGGCGTTGCAGGTGGCCGAGGTGCTGGAAGCCATCGTGAGCTGCTGCGTGGGGCCCGAGGGACGGCAAGTTTTGTGTACGAAGCCCACTGGCGAGGTGCTTCTCAGCCGGAATGGAGGCCGCCTCCTGGAGGCGCTACACTTAGAGCATCCCATAGCCAGGTACCCGCGTCCCACACGCTAACCCGTAGCCGGGCACCCCAGGCAGCCTCTGTGGAGCTCTTGTCCCATCCTGAGGCGATGCGTACTTAGAAAGACTGACCTCGGGTGAAACCGCTGTATGCTCGGAATTAGAGCCCTGCCCAAGGGAACACTCCTGCACCCCAAATCTTACCAATTCTCAAGACCACTTCTCCCCACTCCACCCAACGGTGGAATCTTGGAATAGAGCAGAGTTTTTTCCAAGAAAGGAAAAAACTAAGGATGTATCCAAGGAACAATATTCTCATTTTATGCTTATGGCTGTGTAAACATGGTTTTAAGATGTGGGAAGCCAGCCTTCTGAAAATGAGTTGCTTTATTTCTTTTTTGTACAGGATGATAGTGGACTGTGTTTCCAGTCATCTCAAAAAAACAGGAGATGGTGCAAAAACATTTATTATCTTTCTTTGCCATTTGCTTAGAGGACTTCATGCAATCACAGACAGAGAAAAGGATCCTTTGATGTGTGAAAACATTCAAACCCATGGAAGGCATTGGAAAAATTGTTCTCGGTGGAAATTTATTTCCCAGGCTCTCCTAACGTTTCAGACACAAATATTAGACGGTATTATGGACCAGTACCTAAGTAGACACTTTTTGTCTATCTTTTCGTCTGCTAAAGAGAGAACATTGTGTAGGAGCTCTTTAGAGTTGCTCTTAGAAGCATACTTTTGTGGAAGAGTGGGAAGAAATAATCATAAATTTATTTCACAGTTGATGTGTGACTACTTTTTCAAGTGTATGACTTGTAAAAGTGGGATTGGTGTATTTGAGTTAGTGGATGACCATTTTGTAGAGTTGAATGTTGGTGTCACTGGCCTTCCTGTTTCAGATTCCAGGATCATAGCTGGTCTTGTGCTTCAGAAAGATTTTTCTGTGTACCGCCCAGCAGATGGTGACATGCGAATGGTGATAGTAACAGAAACCATTCAGCCTCTTTTTTCCACTTCTGGATCAGAGTTTATTCTAAATTCAGAAGCACAGTTTCAGACATCTCAATTTTGGATTATGGAAAAGACAAAAGCAATAATGAAACATCTACATAGTCAGAATGTAAAATTGCTCATATCTAGTGTGAAACAACCAGATTTAGTTAGTTATTATGCAGGGGTGAATGGCATATCAGTGGTTGAGTGTTTATCATCAGAAGAAGTTTCTCTTATCCGGAGGATCATTGGTCTTTCTCCATTTGTACCACCACAGGCCTTTTCGCAGTGTGAAATACCTAACACTGCTTTGGTGAAATTTTGTAAACCTCTTATCCTTAGATCCAAAAGATATGTTCATCTAGGCTTGATAAGCACATGTGCATTTATACCACACTCTATAGTTCTTTGTGGACCAGTGCATGGTCTCATTGAACAACATGAGGATGCTTTACATGGAGCACTTAAAATGCTTCGGCAATTATTTAAAGACCTTGATCTAAATTACATGACACAAACCAATGACCAAAATGGCACTTCAAGTCTTTTTATTTATAAGAACAGTGGAGAAAGTTATCAAGCACCAGATCCTGGTAATGGCTCAATACAAAGGCCTTATCAGGACACAGTTGCAGAGAACAAAGATGCATTGGAAAAAACTCAAACATATTTAAAAGTACATTCTAATTTGGTAATTCCAGATGTAGAATTAGAAACATATATTCCGTATTCAACCCCCACACTGACACCAACAGATACATTCCAAACAGTTGAAACGCTGACATGTTTGTCTTTGGAAAGAAACAGGCTAACTGATTATTATGAACCATTACTCAAGAACAATTCCACTGCTTATTCAACAAGGGGAAATAGAATAGAAATTTCTTACGAAAATTTACAGGTCACAAATATTACTAGAAAGGGAAGCATGTTACCAGTGAGCTGTAAGTTACCGAATATGGGTACTTCCCAGAGTTACCTTTCCTCATCTATGCCAGCTGGTTGTGTTTTGCCAGTAGGTGGTAATTTTGAGATCTTGTTACATTACTATCTTCTCAATTATGCCAAAAAATGCCATCAATCAGAAGAAACCATGGTTAGTATGATAATAGCTAATGCACTTTTAGGCATTCCCAAAGTCCTTTATAAATCTAAAACAGGAAAGTACAGCTTTCCACATACATATATAAGAGCTGTCCATGCACTGCAAACCAATCAACCCTTGGTAAGCAGTCAGACAGGTTTGGAATCAGTAATGGGTAAATACCAGCTACTAACTTCAGTTCTTCAGTGTTTGACAAAAATATTAACCATTGACATGGTAATCACTGTTAAGAGACACCCTCAGAAAGTTCACAATCAAGATTCAGAAGATGAACTATAACATCAGAAGTTTTTAATTAACCAAACTTTTCATCTAACTCAAGCCAAGTAAAGCAGTCATGTGACCACTGGTTCTAAAGTCAGTTCAGTCTACTTAGGAAAATAGCGTAACTTTAAAAGTCTTTAGAAGAAGCACACTAAGGTCACCAGACCAGATACAAATATTAAATTACTTTATGGAACAAATCTAGAGGGGAAGCCAAGATTTGGCTAAGTGTGTCTGTTTTTTCCCTATTTTATGCCTCTGTGTCTCAGCTCTGTGTTAGCCTATGTGTTTAGGGGAGGGTTTTTCTTTATAGCTCCTTTTTACTCTCCTGTATCTTTTTCACTCCAGCCCTCCTTCATCGTTACATGTTTAGTTCATAGAATCATTTAATCTCTGATTTGGGTGGGCTTATTCTAATTGTTTTTAATATTGAATACATTATTTGCATTAATTTTCCCTACTCATACTTTGTAAAGCTGAGTAAAAGGCTCAAATTATTTTTTTCAAAAAGCATAAAATTAAATTAGCAGTGAGTAAAAGGCTCAAATTTTTTTTCAAAAAGCATAAAATTAATTTTTACTTTTATGTGGTCATTGGTTTACTGCCACTTCATTTGGAAAACTTGGATAGATTTTCACCTTTGATATACCTTTGAATATATGTTACCTGAAATATAACTGTGCATTGTTAACTCTTTCATTTCTGTAGTAAAAGGTTAATACTAGAAAGGATATGCAATTAATACTTTGATTTTCTCCTGACCCCAAGAGCTTGTAAGGATATGTCATGTATTTACTGGTTTTTCTTGTATCTGGTGCATAGCCAGAGTTCCACAGTAACAAATAATTTGACAATTTTTATTTCTAATGTTTATTTCTGTTTTATTTTTAATTTTTATTTCTAATTTATTTCATTTACAAATGTTCATATTTTAAAAACTTGTCAATGTAAATAATATGATGCATCTTATCATGGACAAGGACAGTGTTTTCTACCTTTATCAGTTCTCTGTAATACCCAAAACAGTGCTGTATTTACTCCAAGTATTCAGAAGTGCTTGTTGAACAAAACAGTGTTATCTTTAATTCATTCCTTTAAATACATGTTTCCAGTTTACTTATTCAACAGATTCTTACTTGGGATTGACTGAAGAAAAAAAACTTTAATTATAGTTGAATAAGTGTTGACTAATGTATTTTAAAAACTATAATATCAAAATTTTTTATATTAAATGTAATTCTGATTTTTTAAACATTTATGCTATATGATGCATTATTTTGTTTCTGTGAATATGGAGAGAATAAATTAGCTCTTTTGCTGAATTCATGGATGAATGAACTTTAAAACTGCTGCATAATTTTTTTCATTTTTTTTTTAATTGCCTTTCAGGTCATTTGGTCACTTTGCTTTTTTTGTGGTTGTTTAAAACACTCCTCCATTACTGTAAGCATTTAATGACTTCCAGACATGCCCAGTGCTTTGCATATGATAAGCATTTAATAGGTATAGTCACTAGTCCAGGAGCCCTGTTGAGGTAGGACTGGGTCTTTGTACGTTTGGCACTTGGTCTAATATCTTACACACAATAGATGCCTATTGAGGGCCTATTTGTTGAATGAATCTGTCATTTGGTCCTCATAGATGAGATTATAATTTCTATAAACTTTCATGGGCAAAGGATCTATTTTGGGGAGGAGCAGAAAGTGTAGAACAGATCTACACAAAGTAATCCTTTTCCTTTTCATTAAAAGAAACCCCTCAAAAATGGTGGTAAAACTTTCATGGATTTATCCTTATTTACAGAATAACACTAGAGAGTTTACATCACTGAGTTAGATAGGAAAGCACTTTTAAAAATGTAATTACATTATACTTATACCCTCTACCACAAAGGATGTGAAGTGACCTGCAATAAGAACAGACCATCCCCACCCAAGAAAAGGAACAGACAAAATTACAGTAAAATCTGAATGAAAATTAAAGAATCAAGACCAAGGAAAATGTAAAGGCCAGTTAAAATCAAAATCAAGATCATGTTTCTATTTTTTACTGCTGCATAATGAATAATCCCAAAACTTAGTTTTTTTGAATCATTATGTTATTTACTTGTGGTTCTGGGGGTTGACTGGGCTTAACTGGACAACTTTCACTGCATTCTGTTGTTTGAGCAGTCATAAGCATCACCTGAGGTTCAAAGGAGAAGAATGCAGGCCCCACCACTCAATGGGAACAGTGTCAGTGTCACATCATAAGAGCATGTGGGATGGGATATATTGAGGCAGCTATCTTTGGAAAATACAATCTGCTACACCATGGGAGGGAAAAGACAAATACGCATTAACTTCTCAACTGCGTTTCTTTTTATTATTAAGTTACATGTCGATCCACCTCCCACAAACACATTTTCTCCAATAACCTTTATAGACCTTCTTATTTTTTCTCATTGGGCCAGCATGAGCCATTTTTATTTTCAAAGCAATAGTTAAACTTGAACATCCTTGAGCTGATTCAGCCAGGGATGCTATTTAATCATGTTGTACAGGAATTGCCATGTTATCCACATTTCAGACTAAAAGGGAAGGGGAAGAAGAATGCAGTTTGAGCCTGAACTTTTATCAGAAATTGCCTCTCCTCTCCCAAAAGAAGTAGAATATGTCTTTCTCATCTTCACAGCTTAGCAGAGAAAACAAAAACTACAGCTCACAAACCATGTATATGTATGTATATATAGTTATTAATTGCAACTTTGTCATAGCAAAAGATTGCTAACAGCCTAAAAGCTAGATGGATTCACAAAGAGAGGCAATGATTTGGAGGGGTGGGGGAGGAGATACCAATCAATCAGGAGGAGGTAGGAAGATTTCTCAATGTCATTTTGATTTTTGAACCAATTGAATATTACCTATATAAAAATGAAATAAGATTTTAAAATAGATCTAGTGCAAGCACATAGAGAATACTCTCCAAATAGTAATTAAGTAATAAGGACCCTGATCTAAGGAAATGCAAGATCAGCATGGAAGAAAAACTGTGAGACACCCTGACAAATAAGTAGAACTTTGACAATAAAAGATATACACCTGAAAAAAAGGAATATTCTCTTAGCTACACCTGGCTTAGGATTGTCTCACCAGTTCTGGAAATATGAGAACATTCTCACTAGGCAGGCTGCAAAGAGGTGTGAGCTGTGAAAGAGTGCCAGCAAGCAGTGCTTCATTCTCGGGGGAATTTCCACAGTGCAGGGTCTGGCTCTCCCTTATGCAGACTCACCATCAGATTTTTGTGAGCACACTGATTATGGCTTTGTCTCAGGGGCTAACTCACGCTAAGCTTGTGAATGTGATAAATTTATTTACAGTGAGAACTCTCCCAGGAACTAGAATATTCCAAGTCCATTTGGCCAATCTTTCCTTTATGTGTGGATCTCTATGGGAAGTCAAACAATAATCAGGTGCTTGCTCAGTAAGCGTGGAATCAGAACAAGAGAAATCAAATGAAATATATGGTCCTCTTTCCAGTCCATTCATGCTCCGGTTCCCCATGGCATAGTCCTGGCCCTCCTCTACCTATACTTGCTTCCTAGGAGAGCCTATCCATCCATGGCTTGGGTGCCAATAGATGCTGATAATCCCAAATTATATATTTCCAGCCTAGACCTCTTTGAATTCTCAACTCATTTATCCACCTGCCAACCCAGTCTCCACTTGGATGCTCACCCTTAACGTGCCCAAAATAGAATTGCTATTTCCCATTTCCTAACCCTAGCCCTCCCACTGTCGCCCCATGTCAGTTAATGGTACCACCCACCTCCCACCTGCTCAGGACAAAAACCTAAGAAACACATTGACTTGTCTTCATGCTCCACAACCAATCTATCAGCAAATCCTGCTGGCTTCAAATACAAAACGGGTTTCAGATCCACCCGTTTCTCACCACTGCCACCGTTGCCACTCCAGCCCAAACCACTTCATCTCACCTGCACTAGCTCATAATGGTCTTATAGTTCTCTAGAGTGATTCACCCTGACTTTATTTAAAAATGTAAACCCACAAAAAAGTGAAAGAGTACAATGAAACCTTCATCTAGATTCACCAAGTAATCTAGATTTTAGCCCGTTTGTGCACACATTTTACTGAACCAATTGAAAGTAAGTTGTAGAAAGCATTATACTTTATCTTTCAATACCTCAGTATGTGTTTCCTATGAATAAGAAGTTTTCCCTACGTGACTGATTCTTTTGAAAGGCAAATCATGTCATGTTCCCCTGCTCAAAGTCCTCCAATGATTTTTCCTCATACAGAATGCAATCCAAATTTGTCATAGTCTACAAGGCTTAGCATGACCTGACCCCCACCTATTCCTTAGATCTCATAGTCTACCAGTCCCTCTATCTTACATTCCACCAGTTACACTTACTGTTTCTGTCTGGATAGGTTACACCATACTGAAATATCCCCAAATCTCACAGGCTTAAAACAATACAGTCAGGTATGGTGGTGTGTGCCGGTAGTCGCAGCTACTCAAGAGGCTGAAGCAGGAGGATCTCTTGAGCCCAGGAGTTTTGAGTCCAACCTAGGCAATAAAGCGAGAGCCCATTTCCAAACAAAACAAAACAAAAGCAACCACAATATAAATAGTTCTTACTCAAATTACATGCCTACTAGAAGGCAACTGGTGATTCTGTTTCCTTCCTTACTGCTAGATCTAGGCTGATGGAGCAGCTACTATCACGCATTAGCAATCATCGATTGTACCAGAGAGGGAAAAAGAGCTCTAGAACGTCTTACATTGGCTCTGTCTGTAAATGGAACATATTATTTTTGCTTATGACTCTGTCCAGAACTAGTCACATTGTCCTATATATATCCACAGAAGAACCAGTGGTGCAATCCTATCTTGTGCCCAGAAGGACGGAGAACCAGAACATTTGGCAAACAACACACACAAACGCCAAACTGGCCTTTCTGTTCCCTGAACACACAAGTTTATTCCAGCCTCTGAACTTGCCACTTCCTGTTCTGTCAGCTTAGAACTCTTTTTTAACTCTGATCTTCGTATGGCTCTCTTCCTCAATTTAGGCAGCTATCTCTGCTTAAGTATCATATTCTTAGCAGTGCCTTCCTTGACACCCAATCTAAAATAATACCTTATTTCCTCCCCAAGACCTCCCTCCTTCACTGTATCTTCCTACCTTGTTAAGCATTTTTTGAAGCACAAACCTGATGTTATTGGTGTATGGTTTATTTTTTAATTGACTGCCTTCCCCACCAGAATATAAACATGAGGATTTTGACTTATTCGCCTCTGTATCTCTAGCATGTAGGCTAATGCCTGATGTAGTAAGGACTCAATAAAGTTCAGTGAGTAAATGAAGGAATTAATAGGTCTAGACCAGTTGAAAAACCTGACTAAAGCTGCCTTTCTCTGAGCAGTAATTGGATGGATCCAACCAACATTTGCCTCAGTGACTCCATTTATATATACTTCCAATGCTACTTAAATTCTGAAGGACACAACTTTTTAAAATACCAGATCACTGCAGAGTCCCACCAGCTTTGAAACCATTCTGTCTTCTACAGGTGACTTAGCATGTCTCTGTTGCTAAACAATTATTTGTTAATTTTGAAAAGTATCTCTCAGTAAGAAATTTTATTTCCAAATGTTTGCTAAAAGCGTCACTGTAGTCCCATGTATGGATGGCATATTGTGGTTGAATCACGCTTTGCTTAGGTTAATGCTATGGTAAAATAGGCATAATTCTTACAGTCTCTGTCATTCACAACCATTTTTTTGGAAGCTTGTATTTAGCAACAAGGAAAAGAGGTGGGGGATCCTCATCCCTGCCATCACCAATTGCAGATCTTATTATAAAGAGATATCTGGGTGAGAACCTCCCTGATCACTGCAGCCACCGTTCTTGTGCCTCAACTAAATACACCTACTTACCGATTGGGTGTGCTCTATGAGCTACTCATGGGGGTTTCTCATTATGAACTACATTGTCTGTGTTATAATATAGGGAAATCTTGGCTGCGACAAGAGAAATGTCTATTTTCTTTAAGCAGGGAACTCCCATGGTATATTTAATCATCATACATTTCTGAAGAGTATATTTATGCAAACTTCTTGAGAGTTCACTTGTTTTTTCTTCACAATTTACCAATCTTTTTTATACTTAATAAACTCCCATACTCAATTCCTCTAATTTGTATTATACGTCTTACAATTTAATTTGCAATGTTAGTCTTAATAATTATTTTGAGGTTCTTACCAATCTTCCAGATAGTAATTCCTATGTGAGCATTAACCAGTGATAACTTGGGCATGAATTGAGAAAGGAGTTGTCTAATGTGCTCCTTGAGAAGACTTTGTTGGTTATTTGGGGGAATAAATTTCTATTATTTGCAATATTTTACTGTAACCCTTTTGAGAAATGAGAGAGAGAGAGAGAGATCTTTTATATACGTATCAGACGAAATAGAATGAAGTGCATAGTTAAAAGAGGGACATTTTACAGATTCTGTTTATCTTCTACACTTTGAAGCACGGTGTAGTGAAAAAAAACAGTCTTTGAAGTCAAACAGATCAGTGTTGCCATCCTGGCTCTACCAGTTACCAGTTTTGTAGCTTTGGACAAGTTACTAAATACTTCTGCCTTTATTTCCTCATCTGTGAAATGGCAATGATAGTACCTACCTTACATACCTGTGGTGAAGATTTAATGAAGATATCTTGTAAGAAGTGTATGACGGTTAATACTGAGTATCAATTTGATTGGATTGAAGGATACAAAGTATTAATCCTGGGTGTGTCTGTGTGGGTGTTGCCAAGAGATTAACATCTGAATCAGTGGGCTGGGGAAGGCAGATCCACTCTTAATCTGGTGGACACAATCTAATCAGCTCCCAGCAAATGTAAAGCAGGCAGAAAAATGTGAAAAGGACAGACGGGCCCAGCCTCCCAGCCTACATCTTTCTCACATGCTGGATGCTTCCTACCCTTGAGCCTCAGACTCCAAGTTCTTCAGTTTTGGGACTCAGACTGGCTCTTCTTGCTCCTCAGCTTGCAGACAGCCTATTGTGGGACCTTGTGATCATGTAAGTCAATATTTAATAAATTCCCCTTTATATATATATATGTGTGTATGTATATATATAAAACTCCCCTTTATATTTATATCTATTCATATATATATATATATATATATATATATATATATATATAATCTCCTATTAGTTCTGTCCCTCTTAGAGAACTCTAATACAAAGTGCCTCGCACAATGCCTGCCACATTATTAAGAGCTTAATATTAGCTTTATTTCTTCCTTTGGTTGACTATACTTTTTTAACTTTACCCCCCTTCCTCCAGTCTTTGTTACACTAGCTAGTCTGTGCCCTAAGTGTGGCATCATGGGAATAGTAGAAACCTTTGAGATCCATGCCAGCATGGACTATGGATGTTGCAGTTGCCGCAGAAATGTGTTTTGGCAGACTATTTTCCTCCATATTTCCCTTGCCACCACGGTCTTCTTAACAGTATGACCTAGACACTCCTCCCATAGAGCAGTGGAGTCTATGTCCCCTTCTGTTAAACCTGAACGAGCCCTTGAGACAGTCTTGCCCAATTAGACTATAATGAAAGTGACACTGTGTAATTTAGATTATGAATGGGAATATTGAACCTCCTGCATCTCTTGACCTCTTACTTTTGGAACCCAACCACCATGCTGTAAGCAAGCTCAAGCAGCCCAAGGAGAGGCCCATGTAGAGAGGAACCAAGGTCCCAATTCACAGTCCTGGCAACATTTCCAACCAATATCCAAGCACCAACTTTCTAGTCATTTGAGTGAGTCTTTGAAGTGGCTCCTCCAACACCCAGGATTTATAGGTTTTCTTCATGTGAGTTCTGCCTGTCGTCCCACACTAAAATAATTATATTAGTACAAGAAGAAAACTTTCCTGTTATATTTTAAGAATTTGATCTTATGAGTAAGTCAGCAAGTATGTTATTCAGCTGGAATGCACAGATAAAGCGGCACATGTTGTGAAAACATTGACATACTTCCGAATTGGTTTTGTAAATAGCTACTGTCTTGAGCCTCCCAAGTGCCACCATCCTTTCCCACATCTTTTCCTGCCATCCTGGCCTTACAGCTCCTCTCCCCATATCCTTTGGGCTACCCCACAATTCAGGTTAATGCCTGGCTCAATAGAGGGTCTTCCAGGGATTCTGCCTCAGTTCTTTGGTGTCCACTCTGATAAAGTATTAGACATTCCATACTGGTTTAAGGATTTGGAGTATCATTCCTTAATATGGTGTGCGTGTGTGTGCACACACATGTGTATGTGTATAATACATACATTTATGTGATCATGCTACACATACTACTTTTCAGTGCTTTGTTTTCTTTTGCCTTTCTGCTTATCTCCCCACTCTTTTCTGCTCCTCCCTTCACGTTGGGCCCCAGCCACCACCCCCTAACCCAAGTAATCTTGTGAAATACCTACCTGGTGTTGTTCTATACATTTCACTATGCTGCTTATAAAATCATATACAAGCATGTGCGTACATATTCATATATGTTTATTTGGATTGATTTTGTCCTACTTGGTTGAGATTCCTCTTTGCTTCTTGTCACACTCGCTGCCCCCCAGGGAAGGCAAAGGGACTTACTTGTTGGGTTGGGTGGAGGAACAGCACATGCTTGGCTCAACATTCACTTTCTTTCTCTTAGTTAAAGAAGGGAAGCATGGTCAGCTTTACTGTCATAGGCCTGGAACAGGAGTCAGTGCTGTTGAGGACCATGACTGCATTTGGTCTGACTTAGAGATGGAGCATGGACCAGCCTGTTCGATTTAGCACTCTAAGGCCTGCTATTCAGCATAAGCATTATCCAGAGTTACTGTAGTTTTTCCAACTCCCTCAGCTTGACTCCCCTGTCTGCCTCCCAATGGGAGTAGAGTTATTTATTGGTTCCTCTAAAATCCCATAATCAACAGATATCACCAGCCTTAATTTTGAGACAGGGTCTGACTCTGTCACCTAGCCTGTATTGCAGTGGAGCGCAAACACGGCTGAACTGCAGGCTGAACTTCTGGGCTCAAGTGATCCTCCACCTCAGTGCACACCACCATGCCTAGCTAATGTTTTAATTCTTTGTAGAGATGAGGGTCTCACCATGTTTTCTATCCTGGCCTCAAACTCCTGGCCTCAAGTGTGAGCTGCACCCAGCCAACAATCCAGTTTTAAAAGCAGTCACTGGCATGGGCTTAATTTAGCCAAAGAGACCCAAATGCTGTTATTTGGCATAATATTAATTTTTTTCCAGCTCCAGGATGAGTTGAGACTCTAAAAAAGCCAAATTATTGAAAGAACCAGTGTTCCATGTTCTGTGCCACTGAATAAAAACTCCTTGATTAAACCTACTGCACACATAGAAAGATGAAATCAGAGACAATCTCTTCAGGTTGCAATCCCAAAGCTTGTCAAGGACCAGCAATATTCCTACTTTTGTGTGCCATGAAATTCCTCTACTTAAGTTATCTCAAAGAGTCTAATACTTGTAAGAAAGGAAACCAGTGAAAATGCTTTAATAAAGAAAGTAAAAAGATGGAAAGATTAGATGGAAGGAATATTTTATGAATTTGATTAGGTAAACAGAGGGGAAGAAAGTGGAAATGAGTTATTCCAGGGTGATGGGATGAAGATATTAGGTCTAATTAGGGTAGATTAGAAAACCACTAAGCACCAAACATATAAATAGCTTACAATGGCTCATTAGGTATGACTGGAAGCTACATCAAAACACTCATTAGTTAAAAGCTGCCAGGTTCCATTATGATTGAATATGTCCAAAAAAGGGCATGTATGATCAGAGTAGTGGTAGAGAATACAAGTTTTAAGTTTGGTGTGTCTTGTGTTTTGTTTAAGAAATCTTTGACTACTCCAAAGTTTGGGCCTTTGAAATGGTAACTAAGAAATCTAAGAAAAATACTGAATTTTGGCAATTTCTGCATAAATGCAAAATATAAGTATTTAAATATATTTTAAAATAATATATAATATTAATGCATATAAATATTAAATATATGTAAAACTGAGAAATCTAGTATAATCAATTCACACTATGAAAACTATCTTACAATGCCATAATGATGAACTGAAGAAAAAAGTCACTTTCAAGTTATCTCTTTTCTAACTCATAACAAACTTGATTTGATCTATTCTTCCAACAAAACATCTTCATGGAAATGCTTTAAATAGTAAAGCACAATTAAAATGCTTCATTAGAATTGCCGGTTTACTCACCATTCTCTCAGAAATTCCTCCAGTCAGCAGCTTCTTTGGAAATACAGAAAGCAACCTCCTGGCACTGTAACATGAACCAATCTGCAAAGATTTTATAATAGCACAGTGAAATGACTTTTACATTTGCCGTACTAAGCATCTTTAGTATGCCATACTTAGTACTTCCATACTAAGTAAAACATAAGTATGGCATGGTACAGAGAACATGGGCTTTAGAGACACACTGACTTGGTGTTTGCATCCTAGATTTGCCATTTACTAGTTGTGGGACCTTAAACAAGTTTCTCAAATTTGCCATACTTCCCTCATTGGTTCTTTCAGTTCTATATTGTGTAACAAATTATCCCCAAATTTAGTGGCTTGAAATAGCAAACGTTTATTCTCTCACATAGTTTCTATGGGTCAGGAATCTGAAAATAACTTCACCGGGTGGTTCTGGCTCAGGGATTTTCATAAGGTTGCAGTCAAAATACTGAAGACCTGAGAGGCTGAAGGATCCACTTCACTCATTCACATAGCTGCTGGCAGGAAGCTTCAGTCCCTCGCTCTGTGGGCGTCTCCATAGGACTGCTTGATGTGTTCAAATGACAGCCGGCTTTCCCCACAGTGACTGACCCAAGAGAGAACAATGCCTGTTTTGTTTTGCTTTTTAGACAGAGTTTACTGTCGCCTAGGCTGAAGTGCAGTGGGGCAATCTCGGCTCACTGCAACCTCCGCCTCCCAGGTTCAAGCGATTCTCCTGCCTCAGCCTCCCGAGTAACTGGGATTACAGGCACCCGCGACCACGCGCAGCTAATTTTTGTATTTGTAGTAGAGACGAGGTTTCACCACGTTGGCCAGGGTGGTCTTAAACTCCTGGCCTCAGTCGATCCGCCCGCCTCAGCCTCCCAAAGTGCTGGGATTACAGGCGTGAGCCACCGTGCCTGGCTGAGAACAGTGCATTTTTTTATTTTTTTATTTTTTGAGATGGAGTATAGTTCTATTGCCCAGGCTGGAGTGCAGTGGCACAATATCGGCTCACTGCAACCTCCACCTCCTGGGTTCAAACAATTCTCCCGCCTCGGCCTCCTGGAACAGCTGTGATTACAGGCACGTGCCACCAGTCCCAGCTAATTTTTGTATTTTTATTAGAGACAGGATTTTACCATGTTGGCCAGGGTGGCCTCGAACTCCTGACCTCAGGTGATGCGCCCGCCTTGGCCTCCCAAAGTGCTAGGATTGCAGGCGTGAGCCACCGAGCCCGGATAAGAACAGTGACTTTTAACATCACTCCTGCTGCATTCAATTCATGAGAAGTGAGTCACAGAGTCAGCTCACACTCTAGGTGAGGGGAATTAGTCTCCACTCTTTATTAGAGGGAGGAGTGTCAAAGAATTTATGGATGTGGTTTAAAATCATTAAGTCAGTAAAACAGAAACAATAAGATCGACCTTATCTTACACTTTAAAGGGTCAAAGGTAAACATCAAGAACCATGCTGGCTTGGAAACATATATGCATTTACTGAGTCTTCATTGAGTACCCTCCTGGGCTGCACACTCAGGATTAAACAATGAGCAAAACTCATAGAATTCCTGCCCTCATGAAGCTCACAGTTTAAAAATGGGGAAGATTGACATGAATCAAATGTTACATAAACAAATGTAAAATTGCTGCCTCAATATATGCATGGTGCACAGTAGAGGGATTTGATCTAATCAGGAAAGTTTCTCTGAGGAAATTATGTTGACACTGAGATCTCAGGGTTGAGTAAGAGTTGATGAGGTGCAGAAGGAAGAGAAGAGAGTTCTAGGTGAAGTATTCAACAGACATGAGACTTGTGGGCGGAGGTGTGGAGAGGACAAGGCACTGAGGAGGCCAGCATGGCTGGGGCAGGGGAGGCTGCACTTGGATGCAGGAGAGGTGTATTAGTCCATTTTCACGCTGCTGATAAAGATATACCAAGACTAGGAAGAAAAAGAGGTTTAATTGGACTTACAGTTCCATATGCCTGGGGAGGCCTCAGAAGCATGGCGGGAGGAAAAAGGAGCTTCTAACATGGTGGCAGCAAGAGAAAAATGAAGAAGAAGCAAAGGCAGAAATCCCCTGATAAACCCATCAAATCTCATGAGGCTTATTCACTACCAGGAGAATAACACAGGAAAAACTGGCCCCCATGATTCAATTACCTCTCCCTGGGTCCCTCCCACAACAAGTGGGAATTCTGGGAGATACAATTCAAGTTGAGATTTGGGTGAGGACACAGTCAAACCCTATCAAGAGGGAACAAGGAGTCAGACCTCACCCTACTCATCTGTCTCTAATAAAGGAAGAGAAGAAAACATTTTATATGCTTATGTGAAATCAGTGGTTGCCAGGGAATAGAGTCTGGGGTAAGGATTAACTATGAAGGGGAATGAATGGACTTTTGGGGATGATGGGCTGTTGTGTATCTTGACTGTGGTGATGGCTACAAAACTGTATGTGCTCATCAGAACTTATAGAACTGTGGACTGAACAGGATGAATTTTACTATAAGTAAATTATGCCTCAATAAACTGGACCTTTTTTTTTTTAAAAAAAAAAGACACTTTTATGCAGGCACTTTAACAGAGGGGTACCATAACATAGTGAATTTTTCTATGATATGGGTTTTGGATTTCATCCAAACAGGTGTAATTCCTGTCACATCAAAAGAAGACTGTCATCACGAGGCTTAAGCTGTCCAGTGGTTATCTGTAAGTAAAACCTCCCAGTCAATGATAGTGAGCTGTGTGTGTGTGTGTGTGTGTTTTGGTGGGAGAGATAAACACATTTCAAAGTAAATTAAATTTAGTAGAGTTTTTGGTATTAAAGTAACAAATTTTCATAACTTTGCAAAACACAAAGGGAAGGAACATTTTAGAGGTAATGAATCAAGTGACTATGTAATATAAATGCTCTTTTTTGATTGCTCTGTTTTTATTCTGAAAAGTTTGTTGTATAAATACGATTCTAAGATAACAGTGATGCTTAACAATGGAATTTAAAAGACTATTATTTTGTTACAAAACCTTTAACAGATATAAAGCAAAACAGGTTTTCCTAACTCAGAAGCTGATATAGTACTTGAGATATTATCCTTAGGCACGACACTGATGCCATTAAGCTTTTGTGAAATTAAAGATTTGAGAAGAACATTGATCATTGCAGCATTGGACTTCAACAGCTGAGCTCTCAAGGTTTTCAATGTAAGATGTTGTTAATGAAAATGAAATGTATAGTATTCCACTATATAAATATGCTACCATTGATTTATTCATTACAAAGCAATGGGAATGACAGCCCACAACTACACACAATACTGTGAATTGACCTCATAAATAAAAGAAGGCAGGTACAAAAGTATATACTGTATGATTTCACCTATGTAAAGCATCAAACCTGGAAAAGCTAGTCAATGCTATTGCAGGCCAGTGCAACAGTCCCCTTGCAGGGCAGCAAGGGGATCTAGTGACTGAAAGAGAGCATGTTGTGGATTTCTTGGTATGGATAATGTTCTATTTATCTGGGATCTGGTTACATAAACGTGTTCAGTTTGTTATTCATCAAGCTATACACTTATTTGCATTTATATATATGCTATACTTCAATAAAAAGGTTTTTTTAAAATAAAAAAGAAATATATGGCACAATAGCAGAAGACCGTGTCGTAAAACAGAAAATTAGGACATTAGCCTACACTTCTCATGATCACCGATTGCTCTAACAAAAGGCTACTATACACTTGACAACAGAACTGTCCTATCTGAGCAGATGCCCCTCTTTGGTTATTTTTTAAATTTTTTAAATTAACAGATAAAATTGTATGTATTTACTGTGTACTACATGATGTGAAGTATATATACATTGTGAAATGATTGAATTTAGCTAATTAACGTATGCATTACCTTGCAGAGCTATTTTTGGGATAACACTTGACATCCACTCTCGGCATTTTTCAAGAATACAATATGTAATGAACTATAGTCGTCCAGTTGTACAGTAGATGCTTTCAACTTATTCCCAACCACCTTATTCCCTGGTAACCATCATTCTACTGGCTACTTCTATGAGATTACATAGAAGTAGACTCTGTGTCTAAATGAGACCATGCAGTATTTGTCTTCCTCTGGCTGGCTTATTTCATTTAACATCATGTCTTTCAGGTTCATCCATGTTGTCACAAATGTCAGGATTTCTTCTTTTTTATGGCTGAATAGTACTCCGTTGTGTATGTATACCACATTTCTCTTCATTCATTCATGTATTGATGTACACTTAGGTGGATTCCGAATCCCGGCGATTGTGAATAGTGCTGCAGTAAACATGGAAGTGCTGCTATCCCCTCAACATGTTGATTTCATTTCCTTTGCATATGTACCCAGTAGTGGGATTACTGAAACATGGTAGTTCTATTTTTAATTTTTTGAAACATCTCCACACTGTTTTTCATAATGGCTGTACTAATCTACATTCCCACCAATTGTGTACAAAAGTTGTCTTTTTTTCCATATTCTTGTCAATGCTTGTTAACGTTTGTCTTTTTGATAGTAGCCATTCTAACAGGTGAGAAGTGATATATCCTTATAGTTTTAATTTGCATTTCCTTGATGATTAGTGATGTGCAGCACTTTTAGATATACCTGTTAGCCACTTGTATGGAAGACCCCCTACCCCTCTCTTTGGGCAGGCAGCTTCAGGAGAGGTTCAGGAGCAAGGGAGCACAAAATCAAGCCTAGCAGCCAACAAGGTGACAGACATCATAGCCCAATCACCTTCATGTTCTCATTAAAAGATTTGGGACTTTTACCTAACAAATTCAGTTGCTTAAAAACTGAGCCAGACATTAATATGTCACAGTGTTGGGGCATAGCACTTCTATAGGGCTTGGAAGTTGGAAAATCTGTTTTCTTGTATTTCTCCTGCTTTCACTAATTATAAGCAAATTTATCAAGCACAATTTTATGCAATTCCCTTTGCCAGAAGCTGTGGGGGATGAAAAGATACGTAAGACACAGTTCTTGACTTCAATAAGCTTGTGATTTCATAGGGAGAAAGCCTCACACCATGAAAAGATTAACCAAAAATACATAGCGGTATGTAAAGGTTGAATGGGGGAGTGCTGATTAAATGCAGCTTTTATCATGTGAGGTGAGAGCTTACTGTGGGCAATAAAGGACAGAGAAAGCTTATCAAAGGAAAGTAAACTTGAGTCGGAATTTGAAGGAAAGGATGTAAAGGAATAAGCCAGACATGAAAGTAAGCTAGAGGGGAAATTTCAAGAGAGAGAAATAATGTAAATAAAGATGCTAAGGGATCAATACACAAAGGACATTTAATTGGGATTGCCTCATGGCGCAGAGTCTGAGAAAATATATTCAAAGAAACAGTCCAGCAATTAAAAGTAATTCAAATCTTTGCTGGAATCTTTCAAAGGCTGTCCACAGGGATCTATCCAATTGGTAATCCCAAGCATAATTTCCTATAATATCCTTTTCTACATTTCTTGAGGTCTAATATCTCTCACATATTGCAGCTATAACTAGACCAAGGGTTGGCGAATTTTTTCTGTAAAGAACCAGATAGTAAATATTTTAGTCTTTGCGGGCCGGATAGGATCTGTTGTAATTATTTCACTCTGCAGCTGTAGCCACAAAAGCAGCCATAGACAATATGTTAATGATGGATATGGCTGTGTTTCAATAAAACTTTATTAGCAATAATAGGTGGCAGGCTGCATTTGGCCCGCAGGCCATAGTTTGCATATCCCCGAACAAGACTTATTTCCAATACCCCCAGCAAAGTCAACCTCTCCTCACAACCTAAGTTCTCCTTTTCTTTTTTATCCTTCCCCTGTCCTTTTTCTTGTCTCTCACAGTTAAATTTTATTCCCTATGATGCCAGTTCCTGTTTTTCATTAAGAATCAGGATCAATGGGTAGAGAAAAACAGAATAGGAATCATGACATACCAGGGAAATATTGACCATTTCTAACAAGGAAGAGTGAGTCAACCCAAGGAATATTTTAAGAAAATTAACCTGGCAGCACTGTGTGGGATGGATTTTAGTGGGTATTAGCAGGAAGCAAAGAGACCTATTAAGAGGTTATGGCAAAGAACTGATGCAATAGATGTGGAGTATAAACTAGAATGTCAGATAGGAATGGGAAGAAGGGATGGGCGTGGGACAAAGTGTGACTCAAAGATTAGCTGGAATTGACACTGATTAGATGCAGGGGAAGGAGTCAAAGTCAGTAAGTGGAGGATTCCTGAGATACAAAAGCTGAGTCAGTAGGAAAATATTTGAATCATTTTTGTCTAATTTTTGAGTTCTTCTTTTTGACCCGCAAATGTTAGTGTTCCTCAGGTTTCTTTAGCTTTCTCTTCTCTTCTCTCCTCTTCTCTTCTTCTCTTCTTCTCCTCTTTTCACTTAATAAAATTTTCCTGGGTAGCAGGATTTAAATTCTTGGCTTTGACTATGACTGCTCAGCTGATAATTTCCAAATCTGTTATCTCTAGCCCAAATGTCTCTGGTGAGCTGCAGACCTATTTATTCAACTCCCTAGTTGGTGTTTCCAGGAAACAGGAAGACCCCAAGGCCCCTCAACTCAGGGTCCAGTTGACTTTTGATTTTATACTACTTTCAAGCAAATAAGTTAGCCTGTTACTATTTTATGGATGCAGACAGAAGAAACTGAGTCAGAGACAAAGGTCCTTTTTACTCACAGCACAGCAAGCAGCATGAGCATTAGCATGCTGGCATCAATTACCCTTGCACCCCAAATCCCATGAAGATGAATTGGGGGGCCCGATGGAGGCCTGCACATGCAGTTGATTGTGTTACAAGAAAGGACAGGAAGCTTGAGGAACCTACTATTTTATAGCAGGCAATGAGCAAGCTTGCTGCCTGTTCTGGAAGGAGTCCTTCAAGGTTGCTCACTGCAAAAAGAAGGCTGAGATATGGCCCAGGTAAAGAGTGGTCAAGGCCAGCTGGGCACAGTGGCTCACGCCTGTAATCCCAGCACTTTGGGAGGCCAAGGCAGGCGGATCATTTGAGGTCAGGAGTTTGAGCCCAGACTGGCCAACATGGTGAAACCCCATCTCTATTAAAAATGCAAAAATTAGCCAGGCATGGGGGCGGGCAACTGTAATCCCAGCTTCTCAGGAGGCTGAGGTGCAAGAATCACTTGAACACAGAGGGCGGATGTTGCAGTGAGCTGAGATCGTACCACTGCACTCCAGCCTGTGTGGCAGAGTGAGACCCTGCCTCAAAAATGAAACAAAAGAGTTGTCAAGGCCTTACATTCTTAGCATATTCAGATGTAAAGGATCACAAGAGACCCATGGAAGATTGTTCCAACACTCAGCATGTCCAAAACTGAATTCACCAGCTTCTTCCTTCAACCTGCTCTTCTATTTCCACACTTGGAAAAGGGCGCCATCTCCTATTGTAATCACTCAAACCCCAAATTAGCAGTTATCTCAGGGTCCTCCCTATCACTTTATTTGTTTCCTGTGACTGCTTAACAAATCAGGCCAGGCATGATGGCACATGCCTGTAATTTCAGCTATGTGGGAGGCTGAGGCAGGAGAATTGCTTGAGCCCAGGAGTTCAAGACCACCCTGGGCAACATAGTGAGACCCCATCACCTGCCAAAAAAATGAAAAAGCAAATGATCACAAACTGGATGGCTTAAAACAACATAAACTTATTCTCTCACAGTTCTGAAGGCCAGAAATCTCACTGAAGGCATTGGAGGGCTGTTCTCCCTCAGAAGGCTCTTGAGGAAAATCTGTTTCTTACCTCTCCCAGCTTCTGGGAGCTCCAGGAGCAGCTTAGTTTGTCGTCATATCATGTCCAGCTCTGTCTCTATGGTGACATTGCCTCGTCCTCCTCTCCTGTCAAATCTCCCTTGACCTCACCCTTATGAGGATGCTTATCACTGGATTTAGAGCCTACCTGGATAATCCAGGCTAAGATCATCCTCTCAAAAATCCTTAATTTAATCACATGTTTTGCCATATAAGGTAATAATCACAGGTTCTAAAGATTCGGGTGTGGACATATTTTTGGGGGCCACCCTTCAGTTGACTGCAGCCACCAAGTTCTCTAAACTCTCTGGCATAGTCATTTTTAATGCAATAAATATCCATTGAATTTAGGAGTTAGCTGCATAGAGATAATAGTTAAAGCTATGAAAATAGATGAGTCTCACTTCAGGAAGGAGAAAAGAAGGAACTATTCTTTATGGAGCTTGGAGCTTGGTGTTCTTATATAATTTTTTTTTTTTTTTTTTGAGACGGAGTCTAGCTCTGTTGCCCAGGCTGGAGTGGAGTGACGTGATCTCGGCTCTCTGCACCTCCGCCTCCTGGGTTTAAGCGATTCTCCTGCCCCAGCCTCCTAAGTAGCTGGGACACAGCCACGCACCACCATGCCTAGCTAATTTTTGTATTTTTAGTAGAGACGGGGTTTCACCATGTTGGTCAGGCTGGTCTCGAACTCCTGACCTCATGATGCGCCCACCTTGGCCTCCCAAAGTGCTAGGATTACAGGTGTGAGCCACTGCGCCTGACCCTCTTATAAATTTTTTAAAAAATAATCACGACCAGGCGAGGTGGCTCATGCCTGTTAATTCTCACACTTTGGGAGGCCGAGATGGGAGGATGGCTTGAGTCCAGGAGTTTGAGACCAGCCTGGGCAACATAATGAGACCCATCTCTGTTTTTTAATAAATAAATAAAATAAAAATAAAAATAATCCCACAATTCCTATAAAGGAAGTATTTTATTTCCATTTTATACAAGATGAAACTCCGGTTCACAGAAGGCAAGGAATTTTTGAAATCATTCTGGTAATAAGTGACACAGTCAGGATTCAGATCCAGATCTGAATGAAGAAAAAAAATCCATCATTTTTCTACTGTATCACTCACAATTCAGCAGCCTACCTCTGGAGACATGGTGGCCCCTCAATGCATTTGTCCAATATGTGAGGTGAGTGAGTGTGGAGTAAATGTGGATTTTCTACAGGAATTGGGGCATGAGAAATTCTCAAAAAAATGCTTGTGGCTTAGGTGAAGGACAGGCCAGATGTGGAACACACACGGCCCAGCGTCTGGGTCTATCTGGAAATAACTGCTTGGCACAGCGACTTCTTGCAGGCAGGCTCTTAGGAGTCTGTGTGGAAGGAGACTTGGACAAGCAGAAGTATGCAGAGTTGGAGTGGGGTGGGGAGAGGAACAAGGCAAGGCTGGACGGACAGCAGGGACCAGGTGGGAAACAAGGCAGACACTGAAGACAGCATCTGTGAGGTGAGGCCTGGACACTGGCGTAAGAGATCAGAGTAGGCTGTGGACGATGTTAAATGACTTGACGGTGGTCAATTAGATGGAGAGGGCAAGAACCTTGAAGGTCCTGACACTTGTTGAATGGAACTTAAGTATTCTCAGGAGTGATCAAATTGGAGACTGGACATCAAAAACTATACCTGATATTAAAAACAGCAACAAAAGGCTGAGCTCACACTTGTAATCCCAGCACTTTGGGAGGCCGAGGTGGACAGATCACGAGGTCAGGAGATCGAGACCATCCTGGCTAACACAGTGAAACCCCGTCTCTACTAAAAATACAAAACATTAGCCAGGTTTGGTGGCATGTGCCTGTAGTCCCAGCTACTCGGGAGGCTGAGGCAGGACAATCGCTTGAACCCGGGAGGCGGAGGTTGCAGTGAGCCGAGATCACACCACTGCACTCCAGCCTGGGCAACAGAGCGAGACTCTGTCTCAAAAAAAAAAAATTTATTTATTTATTTATTTATTTATTTATTTATTTATTAGTATTATACTTCAAGTTTTAGGGTACATGTGCACAATGTGCAGGTTAGTTACATATGTATACATGTGCCATGCTGGTGTGCTGCACCCACTAACTCGTCATCTAGCATTAGGTATATCTCCCAATGCTATCCCTCCCCCTCCCCCCACCCCACAACAGTCCCCAGAGTATGATGTTCCCCTTCCTGTGTCCATGTGTTCTCATTGTTCAATTCCCACCTATGAGTGAGAATATGCGGTGTTTGGTTTTTTGTTCTTGCAATAGTTTACTGAGAATGCTGATTTCCAATTTCATCCATGTCCCTACAAAGGACATGAACTCATCATTTTTTATGGCTGCATAGTATTCCATGGTGTATATGTGCCACATTTTCTTAATCCAGTCTATCATTGTTGGACATTTGTGTTGGTTCCAAGTCTTTGCTATTGTGAATAATGCTGCAATAAACATACGTGTGCATGTGTCTTTATAGCAGCATGATTTATAGTCCTTCGGGTATATACCCAGTAATGGGATGGCTGGGTCAAATGGTATTTCTAGTTCTAGATCCCTGAGGAATTGCCACACTGACTTCCACAATGGTTGAACTAGTTTACAGTACCACCAACAGTGTAAAAGTGTTCCTATTTCTCCACATCCTCTCCAGCACCTGTTGTTTCCTGACTTTTTAACGATTGCCATTCTTACTGGTGTGAAATGGTATCTCATTGTGGTTTTGATTTGCATTTCTCTGATGGCCAGTGATGGTGAGCATTTTTTCATGTTTTTTTTAGCTGCATAAATGTCTTCTTTTGAGAAGTGTCTGTTCATGTCCTTTGCCCACTTTTTGATGGGGTTGTTTGTTCTTTTCTTGTAAATTTGTTTGAGTTCATTGTAGATTCTGGATATTAGCCCTTTGTCAGATGAGTAGGTTGTGAAAATTTTCTCCCATTTTGTAGGTTGCCTGTTCACTCTGATGGTAGTTTCTTTTGCTGTGCAGAAGCTCTTTAGTTTAATTAGATCCCATCTCTCAATTTTGGCTTTTGTTGCCATTGCTTTTGGTGTTTTAGACGTGAAGTCCTTGCCCATGCCTATGTCCTGAATGGTAATGCCTAGGTTTTCTTCTAGGGTTTTTATGGTTTTAGGTCTAACATTTAAGTCTTTAATCCATCTTGAATTGATTTTTGTATAAGGTGTAAGGAAGGGATCCAGTTTCAGCTTTCTACGTATGGCTAGCCAGTTTTCCCAGCACCATTTATTAAATAGGGAATCCTTTCCCCATTGCTTGTTTTTCTCAGGTTTGTCAAAGATCAGATAGTTGTAGATATGTGGCGTTATTTCTGAGGGCTCCGTTCTGTTCCATTGATCTATATCTCTGTTTTGGTACCAGTACCATGCTGTTTTGGTTACTGTAGCCTTGTAGTATAGTTTGAAGTCAGGTAGTGTGATGCCTCCAGCTTTGTTCTTTTGGCTCAGGATTGACTTGGCGATGCAGGCTCTTTTTTTGGTTCCACATGAACTTTAAAGTAGTTTTTTCCAATTCTGTGAAGAAAGTCATTGGTAGCTTGATGGGGATGGCACTGAATCTGTAAATTACCTTGGGCAGTATGGCCATTTTCACAATATTGATTCTTCCTACCCATGAGCATGGAATGTTCTTCCATTTCTTTGTGTCCTCTTTTATTTCCTTGAGCAGTGGTTTGTAGTTCTCCTTGAAGAGGTCCTTCACATCCCTTGTAAGTTGGATTCCTAGGTATTTTATTCTCTTTGAAGCAATTGTGAATGGGAGTTCACTCATGATTTGGCTCTCTGTTTGTCTGTTGTTAGTGTATAAGAATGCTTGTGATTTTTGTCCATTGATTTTGTATCCTGAGACTTTGCTGAAGTTGCTTATCAGCTTAAGGAGATTTTAGGCTGAGACAATGGGGTTTTCTAGATATACAATCATGTCATCTGCAAACAGGGACAATTTGACTTCCTCTTTTCCTAATTGAATACCCTTTATTTCCTTCTCCTGCCTAATTGCCCTGGCCAGAACTTCCAACACTATGTTGAATAGGAGTGGTGAGAGAGGGCATCCCTGTCTTGTGCCAGTTTTCAAAGGGAACGCTTCCAGTTTTTGCCCATTCAGTATGATATTGGCTGTGGGTTTGTCATAGATAGCTCTTATTATTTTGAGATACATCCCATCAATACCTAATTTATTGAGAGTTTTTAGCATGAAGGGTTGTTGAATTTTGTCAAAGGCCTTTTCTGCATCTAGTGAGATAATCATGTGGTTTTTGTCTTTCGTTCTGTTTATATGCTGGATTACATTTATTGCTTTGCGTATATTGAACCAGCCTTGCATCCCAGGGATGAAGCCCACTTGATCATGGTGGATAAGCTTTTTGATGTGCTGCTGGATTCGGTTTCCCAGTATTTTATTGAGGATTTTTGCATCAATGTTCATCAAGGATATTGGTCTAAAATTCTCTTTTTTGGTTGTGTCTCTGCCCGGCTTTGGTATCAGGATGATACTGGCCTCATAAAATGAGTTAGGGAGGATTCCCTCTTTTTCTATTGATTAGAATAGTTTCAGAAGGAATGGTACCAGTTTCTCCTTGTACCTCTGGTAGAATTCGGCTGTGAATCCATCTGGTCCTGGACTCTTTTTCATTGGTAAGCTATGGATTATTGCCACAATTTCAGCTCCTGTTATTGGTCTATTCAGAGATTCAACTTCTTCCTGGTTTATTTTTGGGAGAGTGTATGTGTCGAGGAATTTATCCATTTCTTCTAGATTTTCAAGTTTATTTGCGTAGAGGTGTTTGTAGTATTCTCTGATGGTAGTTTGTATATCTGTGGGATCGGTGGTGATATTCCCTTTATCATTTTTTATTGTGTCTATTTGATTCTTCTCTCTTTTTTTCTTTATTAGTCTTGCTACCGGTCTATCAATTTTGTTGATCCTTTCAAAAAACCAGCTCCTGGATTCGTTAATTTTTTGAAGGGTTTTTTGTGTCTCTATTTCCTTCAGTTCTGCTCTGATTTTAGTTATTTCTTGCCTTCTGCTAGCTTTTGAATGTGTTTGCTCTTGCTTTTCTAGTTCTTTTAATTGTGATGTTAGGGTGTCAATTTTGGATCTTTCCTGCTTTCTCTTGTGGGCATTTAGTGCTATAAATTTCCCTCTACACACTGCTTTGAATGTGTCCCAGAGATTCTGGTATGTTGTGTCTTTGTTCTAGTTGGTTTCAAAGAACATCTTTATTTCTGCGTTCATTTCATTATGTACCCAGTAGTCATTCAGGAGCAGGTTGTTCAGTTTCCATGTAGTTGAGCGGTTTTGAGTGAGATTCTTAATCCTGAGTTCTAATTTGAGTGGTTTTGAGTGAGATTCCTAATCCTGAGTTCTAATTTGATTGCACTGTGGTCTGAGAGATACTTTGTTATAATTTCTGTTCTTTTACATTTGCTGAGGAGAGCTTTACTTCCAAGTATGTGGTCAATTTTGGAATAGGTGTGGTGTGGTGCTGAAAAAAATGTATATTCTGTTGATTTGGGGTGGAGAGTTCTGTAGATGTCTATTAGGTCCGCTTGGTGCAGAGCTGAGTTCAATTCCTGGGTATCCTTGTTGACTTTCTGTCTCATTGATCTGTCTAATGTTGACAGTGGGGTGTTAAATTCTCCCATTATTAATGTGTGGGAGTCTAAGTCTCTTTGTAGGTCACTCAGGACTTGCTTTATGAATCTGGGTGCTCCTGTATTGGGTGCATATATATTTAGGATAGTTAGCTCTTCTTGTTGAATTGATCCCTTTACCATTATGTAATGGCCTTCTTTGTCTCTTTTGATCTTTGTTGGTTTAAAGTCTGTTTTATCAGAGACTAGGATTGCAACCCCTGCCTTTTTTTTGTTTTCCATTTGCTTGGTAGATCTTCCTCCATCCTTTTATTTTGAGCCTATGTGTGTCTCTGCCCGTGAGATGTGTTTCCTGAATACAGCACACTGATGGGTCTTGACTCTTTATCCAATTTGCCAGTCTGTGTCTTTTAATTGGAGCATTTAGTCCATTTACATTTAAAGTTAATATTGTTATGTGTGAATTTGATCCTGTCATTATGATGTTAGCTGGTTATTTTGCTCGTTAGTTGATGCAGTTTCTTCCTAGTCTCGATGGTCTTTACATTTTGGCATGACTTTGCAGCAGCTGGTACTGGTTGTTCCTTTTCATGTTTAGCGCTTCCCTCAGGAGCTCTTTTAGGGCAGGCCTGGTGGTGACAAAATCTCTCAGCATTTGCTTGTCTGTAAAGTATTTTATTTCTCCTTTATTTATGAAGCTTAGTTTGGCTGGATATGAAATTCTGGGTTGAAAATTCTTTTCTTTAAGAATGTTGAATATTGGCCCCCACTCTCTTCTGGCTTGTAGAGTTTCTGCCGAGAGATCTGCTGTTAGTCTGATGGGCTTCCCTTTGAGGGTAACCTGACTTTTCTCTCTGGCTCCCCTTAACATTTTTTCCTTCATTTCAACTTTGGTGAATCTGACAATTATGTGTCTTGGTGTTGCTCTTCTCAAGGAGTATCTTTGTGGCGTTCTCTGTATTTCCTGAATCTGAATGTTGGCCTGCCTTGCTAGATTGGGGAAGTTCTCCTGGATAATATTCTGCAGAGTGTTTTCCAACTTGGTTCCATTCTCCCCGTCACTTTCAGGTACACCAATCAGACGTCGATTTGGTCTTTTCACATAGTCCCATATTTCTTGGAGGCTTTGCTCGTTTCTTTTTATTCTTTTTTCTCTAAACTTCCCTTCTCGCTTCATTTCATTCATTTCATCTTCCATCGCTGATACCCTTTCTTCCAGTTGATGGCATTGGCTCCTGAGGCTTCTGCATTCTTCACATAGTTCTCGTGCCTTGGTTTTCAGCTCCATCAGCTCCTTTAAGCACTTCTCTGTATTGGTTATTCTAGTTATACATTCTTCTAAATTTTTTCAAAGTTTTCAACTTCTTTGCCTTTGGTTTGAATGTCCTCCCATAGCTCGGAGTAATTTGATCATCTGAAGTCTTCTTCTCTCAGCTCGTCAAAGTCATTCTCCGTCCAGCTTTGTTCCGTTGCTGGTGAGGAGCTGCATTCCTTTGGAGGAGGAGAGGCGCTCTGCTTTTTAGAGTTTCCAGTTTTTCTGCTCTGTTTTTTCCCCATCTTTGTGGTTTTATCTACTTTTGGTCTTTGATGATGGTGATGTCCAAATGGGTTTTCGGTGTGGATGTCCTTTCTGTTTGTTAGTTTTCCTTCTAATAGACAGGACCCTCAGCTGCAGGTCTGTTGGAGTACCGTGTGAGGTGTCAGTGTGCCCCTGCTGGGGGGTGCCTCCCAGTTAGGCTGCTCGGGGGTCAGGGGTCAGGGACCCACTTGAGGAGGCAGTCTGCCCGTTCTCAGATCTCCAGCTGCGTGCTGGGAGAACCACTGCTCTCTTCAAAGCTGTCAGACAGGGACATTTAAGTCTGCAGAGGTTACTGCTGTCTTTTTGTTTGTCTGTGCCCTGCCCCCAGAGGTGGAGCCTACAGAGGCAGGCAGGCAGGCCTCCTTGAGCTGTTGTGGGCTCCACCCAGTTCGAGCTTCCCGGCTGCTTTGTTTACCTAAGCGAGCCTGGGCAATGGCGGGCGCCCCTCCCCCAGCCTCGCTGCCGCCTTGCAGTTTGATCTGAGACTGCTGTGCTAGCAATCAGCGAGACTCCGTGGGCGTAGGACCCTCCAAGCCAGGTGCGGGATATAATCTCGTGGTGCGACATTTTTTAAGCCCATCGGAAAAGCGCAGTATTCGGGTGGGAGTGACCCGATTTTCCAGGTGCCGTCTGTCACCACTTTCTTTGACTAGGAAAGGGAACTCCCTGACCCCTTGCACTTCCCGAGTGAGGCAATGCCTCGCCCTGCTTCGGCTCGCGCACGGTGCGTGCACCCACTGACCTGCGCCCACTGTCTGGCTCTCCCTAGTGAGATGAACCTGGTACCTCAGATGGAAATGCAGAAATCACCCGTCTTCTGCATCGCTCATGCTGGGAGCTGTAGACCGGAGCTGTTCCTATTCGGCCATCTTGGCTCCTCCCCCACCCCCAAAAAAATTTAACCAGCAACAAAAATGTTGATGATGATAATGATCTTGATGATAATGACAGATTAAGACTGACACACACACACACACTCACAGAGAAAGAGAGAGAGATGATGTGGGGAGATAGATAAATAGATTAGATAGAAAGATAGATACATAGGTACATAGATTGAATCTATTGTGCATCTATGTGGCAGGCACTTATCAAACATTATCTCATTTAAGCAAGGAATAGGCCCAATGAATGAGATACTAGTGGAATTATTTTATAGGAAACCCAGGCTCAGCAAGAGGAAGTGATTTGCCTGATGTCATACATGTAGCTATGTATGAACAGCTATGCCAGATTCAAACCCAGACTGTAGGACTCCAAAGTCATGCACTTAATCACTAACTTGTACTGTCATCTACCCTTTTTAACATTACTAAATATGTTCAAAAATCAGTAGCTGTAGAAAGGAAGCATAGGCTTAAGTCTCACCAATATCCACTAGACTCTTGGGCTGGCAAGGGTTCCATGGACCATAAGAAGCCCTTTGCACCCTCATTGCCCCCAAAAGCCTCCCCCTACTGAAAATTAATGTGGTGCATGGATGACCTATGACTCAGTAACCAGAGAACTGAATTCCTTTCCTTGCCAGTTCCTTTGGATTTTCAGTTCAGTGCCCTGAGTTCCAGTCTGGGGAGTAAAAATGTCCATGACGATCATCTGTGTTCCCAGTGAGTTCTCTAAGGGGTAGTTGGTGCAGTATGATGAGAGTCAGCACTGACAAGAGGCATTGATATTCAGCTTCTCATTTTGCTGAAAGAACAATGATGCAGGAGAAAGGAGGTGGAAGCAGAGGACCTGATATCAGACAGTCCTGGCTCTAATGCCAGCTCAGTGATCCTAGGAGAGTTGCTTAACCTCCCTTACCTGTACAATGGTGATAATAATTGCCGTTGTTTCATACATTCTTGGGGTGATGAAAGGAGGTGATATACATTGAGTTCTGGGCACAATGCCATGTAACAAGTGGTGATGTTCCATTCGGAATAGCCACAGCTCATTCTTCCACAGGAGACCCTGAGCTTATTTTGCCCAGTTCCAACTTAGATAGGTATAAGAGCCCTCATTTCATGTCAGTACCACACTTGCAAGGGTATGGGATCTCACTTTCCATTCCTGGGATGTCCTGCCAGTGCATGGGTGTTTCTCTCACAGAGAAGTACAAGCACAGAGGAACATTATTTCTGATGGGCAAGGGACAGGCAATGTGCTGGTGGATGGAGTTTTCTCCTCCAAAGGCTCATCACCAGATCTTGTCATCTCTTATCTTAGTGATCCCTTCCCTTCACCTGTGTTAGCACCAGATATGTTTTAGCTAGCCTGCAGTTGAAGAAACCGCAGATGTATACCTCAAATGTATATCTGCAGATGTATAACCACAAATGTATGTCCTCTCCCAGTCTTAAATTGGCAGCTTTAAAATTTAGTAGCCAGGAGCCCAGGAACTATACTGGTTAAATAAAAGTCCCTGGAACTGCACCTGCAAAACTTGCAATAGAATGACTACCTCCTGGTGTAGTCAATTTTCTTTGTAGATTTTATATTCTGTGACCTTGTTTATACATGGGCAGGTGCTCTCAGGCTCTTGTAAAGTTGCTTCTATAGTTCTTAAGTCATAAACTCACAGCTCTTTTGAATTGTAAATATAACATAAATACAACAGGTTTCAAGTTGAAGATGTTCAAGATGTCAGACAGGGAATACATCAACTGCTTTCCCTCCCAAGATCCCATTGAAAAGACAGAAATAATTTTAAAGTGATAAATAAATAGCATTGAAAACTCATTGGAGACTAGGAAAAGAAGACTAGGAAAAGGTCTTCAGAGGGCCAAACATGTAAGGAAGAGCTGGAGGAGAGAAAGTAGAGGGATTGGGTTGACTGAGAAAGCCCAGAAACCTTGGAGAAATGTTAAGCCCTGAGTAACATGTGTACGCACTACTTCTATTTTTTTAATTGGGTTCTTTGCTTTCTGATTTTTGAGTTTTAAAAGGTCTTTTTATATTTTGGATAAAGTATTTTATATGATATGTGTTTTGCAAATATTTTTCCCAATCTGTAGCTTGTGTTTTGATTCTCTTAATAATGTCTTTTGCAGAGCTAAAGTTTTTATTAATAAACTCTAATTTATTATTTTTTTCTTGATGGTGTTTTTGATGTTGTATCTAAAAACTCATCACCATACCCAAGGACACAGATTTTCTCTTATGTTTTCTTTCAGAAGTTTTATAGTGTTGCATTTTGTATTTAAGTCTGTGATCCAATTTGAGCAATGTTTGTGAAATCTATTTTTATTAAAGGAGAAAAAGATAGGAGGAGGAGGAGGAGAAGGAAAGGCAGCAGAGAATTTTTGTCCTCTAGGCCTAATGAGAATGCTGGAGCATAAATCCCTAGGACTTATGAAGCACTTTATATTTCATAAGCACTTACCTAAATTAATCACGTAATTAATCTCCAAGGATGGTAACCAAGTGATTTCTTTTAAAAACTATCATTATTTATTAATAGATTAGAAAGCTGATGGAGAGTTTTGCATAAGCTTCCATAGGGGAAATTGGAGTTACTGAAGAACCAAATCCCAATCTCTTCAAGGTCTTTCAGCTGAAAAGTAACAGAACCCAAACTCATGGCAGCAAGTGGGACCACAGAGGTGGAAGACTGGAGTCTGCCCAGCCACACTGTGTGACAGTCATAAAGAGTAACTAAACCCCACGGGGTGTCCATTTCTCTCTTGCTAACCACAACACGAGAATCCTGCCCCGCTGCCCTTGCTGAGCTGACAAGGTAGTCTTGATTGAAATGAAAATTATTTATCCTGGGAATGTTGATTAAATTGCATATTACATTAATTTGAAATACACTATAATTAAACAAGAATGCTTTGAAATCATGGATCCCTGAACTATCAGTTATTACGTAACCAGCTTTGCTACAGTTATAGCGTATTGTGTTGTAGTGGAGAACACAGGCTCTGGAGCCAGATTGCAGGATTTTGATCTCATTTACCGCCTAGGTGACTTTGGGCAAGTTACTTGCAAGTTACCACCTAGTTTTTTTTCTCCCCCCCATAAAATGAGCATCATGATAGTACCTGCAAGACAGGGTCGTTTTGAGAATTGAATGAGTCAAATATGTGAAAGCATTTAACCTGGGTCCAGGTACATGGTAAGTGCCCAATAAAGTTTCATATCTACACAACCCATAAAGGACTTGGACATTTTATCATAACAAAGAGGGAACATGGATATATCACCACATTTCTTTTCTGTTTCCACAACCTTTAACTAGGTGGGTCCTGACCAAGGGTCCTGCAGATCCACTCACCTGCCTAAGACGCTCTTCTCTGTTCCTGACCTCTCTTTGTCTCTGTCTCTGTCTTTCTGTTATTCTAGCTCCTTATCTTCTCCTTCCTCCCCTTGTCTTTTCATCCCCCTCTTTCTTTTTCCTCAGTATTCAGGATAAGGAGGGACCCTACAATTCACTGGGTTGGCTTGTGGGAATTATTTTATCTAATGGAGCATCAGAGAAAAACAACCAGGCCTGTCAAGGCGTCTAAACTGGCTCCCTCTGTGGCTGTGTCTCTATCCCACTTTTGGGGAGCTTGTTTGGAGGTTCTAGCAGGGGAGCGCAGTTACTCTTGGCCTTGACGGAAGACCGGTCTATCAGGGATGGTCGTCCTCTTCCAGGGAGCGCACAGCTTCAGGAGAGACACACATGGAGCCATGAGGGAGGAAGGGGACACCCACCCAGACTGCCAGATCAGCCAATTCAACCCTGGCAGTCAATGGGGTGACAGATGTCACAGCCAGATCACTCTCATATCTCCCACTTTTTATATCTCTCTCTCTGTCCGCGTGCCTCTCTACTTGTCTCTGCTTCTGTCTGCCTCTCTTGGTGCCTCTTACATCTCTTTTTTGCTCTCTCCATGTCTCTTGGCTTGCATGTCTTTCTATTTCTCTCTGTATCTCTCTGATACTATCTTATGATGTGTGTGGGGGGTTGGGGGAGGGGACAGTGATTGTGTACAGATGTGTCCTGTCCTTTTAGCTATGTATGTCCCCTTAGCTGTGGGAGGTGAGCTCCCTGGGCCCTCTGATATCCTGTGGGGATGGGAGAGGAAGAAAAGGGAGAGAGTCCAATACTTTCTTCTTCCCTGCATTGGGATGCGGTTGAGAGGGCTTTCTCAAACTACAGTACCTGTCAATACAGCCTGGCAAGCAGTTCTGGAATCTGGGGAGTCAGGTCCCTCTTGATAGCCCCTGAAGTAGCAGGGACTTTAAGCAATGTCTCCGTGAATGAGTGTCCAAGCTGCACACTCCACGTACTATAAAGTCTGAGCAGAACGTCTAAGTAGAGCAGAGCCCATCATTCTAATCAAGACAACGTACATGAAAGTTAACTGGGCACGTATTTAATGATACACATGATTATGATTGTGCTGCATGGTAATTAAGCATAAATGGTGAGGGGCTCATGTAAATGACTGTAATTAGTATTACTTTTTCACAGCTAAGCCAAATTTCATTTCCCCTTTCTACATTGCTAATTTTCCAGCATCTGTAATCAGTGTCAATGTTGATAATTTCTGATGTCACATACTGTTTAATCATCACATCCCATGAACATACACAGATCCAGGCACAAAGATGCACATGGATGCACACACATACACATCCCCACGTGCACACATGCTCACCCCACCCCTGCCTTCACACACACACACACACACACACACACACACACACACACACACACACAGAGCCTGGAGGTAACACTGAAATGAGGGGACCTGGTCCCTGGTCTACGTACCCCATTCTTCAGGGCAGAGGTTTCCTGTGTTTCTTTTTTTCTCTCTTTCTTCCTTCCTTCCTTCCTCCCTCCCTCCTTCCCTCCCTCCCTCCCTCCCTCCCTCCCTCCCTTTCTTTCTTTCTTTCTTTCTTTCTTTCTTTCTTTCTTTCTTTCTTTCTTTCTTTCTTTCTTTTTTCTTTCTTTCTTTTTCTTTCTTTCTTTTCTTTTTCTTTCTTTCTTTCTGTTCTTTCCTTCTTCTTTCTTTCTTTCTTTTCTTTTCTTTCTTCTTTCTTTCATCTTTCTTTTTGACAGAGTCTCACTCTGTTGCCCAGGCTGGAGTGCAGTGGTGCCATCTCAGCTCACTGCAACCTCTGCCTCCCAGGTTCAAGCAATTCTCCTTCTTCAGCCTCCCAAGTAGCTGGGATTACAGGCACCTGCCACCACGCCCTGGCTAATTTTTGTATTTTTAGTAGAGACAGGGTTTCACCGTGTTAGCCAGGCTGGTCTTGAACTCCTGACCTCAAGTGATCTGCCCACCTCAGCCTCCCAAATTGCTGGGATCACAGGCATGAGACGTCATGCCCAGCGCTCCTGTGTTCCAATTTTCCTACTTTCTGGCCCTGGAGCAATTGAGGCCACTTTAGAGAAGTGACAGCTTGACCACCACGTGAGATCATCTGAGGTCTTAATTGTAAAATTCTATTTTAAAAATGCTAATATTGGGAGTGGTGATGGTGGTAAAATCATATTTTTATATTTTTAATATACATAATTTTATTTAATTAGTTACTTTCATGTTATCACCATCATTTTTATAATCACAAAAATTACTGTAATTTTGGATTTTAATATATGTCAGACACAATGGCATATTCTTTACATGCATTATTCCCCTAAATTTTGAGGTACATGTTATTCCCCATTTCCTAAATAAGAAGCTGGGGCTTACTGAGGTTAAGTATTTGCCCAAGGTCACGGAATCAGTAAGTGGGAAGCCAGGACTCAAATTCTGTGGATTTTGAGTTAAAGTCCATGACTGTAACTACTCTGCTCTTCTGGCAAAATGATGAGGACAGATATTTCCTTTCCTAAATCTTAATTTTTTCACCAGTAACGATGTTCATAGCTCACATCTGTCTTATTTTTTATAGAGAAGAAGGGGCTTGGATATTTGAAAAGGGTTTTTCTGCCAAAAAGAGGAGAGAGAGAAGGATGAAGAGGCACCCAGCACTGCCAATGCAGGCATGAAGCCAAACCCGTTTGTCTTCCCTGGTATACAGAGTGACCACAGGGGACATTTTAAAAGCTCTAGGGAGTTAGAGAGTGCTGAAGAAGAAATCTGGGCAGCAGGGCTGCGGCCAGCCTTTCAGCAGTTTGTGCTGGGAGCTGCTCCCCAATGAGACTTTCACCTCAGCTGGGTTTGCGCGCCGTACTCCCTAGGCTGAAAGTTCTCTGGATCGGTCTCCTCGAAGCAGTGCTCCCGACAGGCAGCACTGAGCCTTTCACCTGGAAGGAGGAAAAGAAGGGTTTCGTAGACACAAATGGGGAGGAAGGCGAGGGCTGCCCTGTTACTGCGATGCCCTCATCAGCCAAGTCTGGGCTGCTCCCTTTTTTTTTTTTTTTGAGACTGAGTCTCACTCTGTCGCCCAGGCTGGAGTGCAGTGGCGCGATCTCGGCTCACTGCAAGCTCCGCCTCCCGGGTTCACACCATTCTCCTGCCTCAGCCTCCGGAGTAGCTGGGACTACAGGGCCTGCCACCACGCCCGGAGAATTTTTTGTATTTTTAGTAGAGACGGGGTTTCACCGTGTTAGCCAGAATGGTCTCGATCTCCTGACCTTGTGATCCTCCCGCCTCGGCCTCCCAAAGTGCTGGGATTACAGGCGTGAGCCACCGCGCCCAGCCCGCTGCTCCCTCTTTTTAAAGAGTGGCTCCTCCCCCTGTTCTAGCTTTCAGGTCTGACCAGAAACAGTCTCTTCTTTGACTCTGCCTCCTTGACCACAGTGAGTGGTCCAGGGATAAGCAAGTCAGATTGACTGAAGTGGGGAGAAGGCTCTCAAAGGTCCTGAGACTGTAAGATGTAAGAGACTCTGAAGAAATGAAAATTTTCCACTGTAGGCCTCCATGTCCTTGTCCACTGTAGCTGTTCCTCCCCACCCCCGCCGCTCACACATGACCGGACTGTTCCTCCCACTCCTCTTGGTAAAATCCAAGTTGTCCAAACAGTGACCGCTAATTGCTAAAGAAAATTCCTTCCTTTTCTAGGAACCATCTTTGTTCTTAAAACAAAGTGAACTTGAGCTGACCCTGCCTGCTGAAGCCCTATAAAAAATTCCACCCTCCTTCCCAAGTTAGAACGCTCCTTTTCACGCCGGCATTACTGAAAGGCTTATGCTAATGGTGTTCTTGGTTTTTTCCACAGAGGATATAAGTTAAGAGATGTTGAGATGCTAGCAGCAGGTCTACAGCTTGTGGAGAAGCCAGTCTGGGAGAAGGAAATTAACGTGCAAACAGGTTAAGAAATAAGTGGTAGAGGGAGAGACAGAGAGATCCCCTCGCGTTTAATTTTCCATCTTGCTTCTCTAAGACCAGGATTCTTCCCTGTTCTTCTCATTTTTGGTTATGTAAGTAAATTAGTTAAAAATGTAAGATTAAAAAAAGGAGCACCACAACATCTTCACATGTGGCTGTGCAAACGTAATGTTATAACTGTATACTGAAAGAAATTCGAATTTAGAGCCTCGGTGTCCAGGAATAAGGGTAAACATTATCTTGTCCTTTCACATAGCTCTGTCAGCTCACTCTCTTCTGGGTAAATGATGAGTCAGAAACACAGGATTCTTCTCTCATTCAATGCCACCCTCACTTCTGGGAATGAATAAGTTGCTGGAGAATCAGGATGTTGAAGAGTAATTTTTAAAAAACCCATGCAATTACACAATGCCAAAAATCTTGTTTCACTTATTATTTATTTATTTTTACTTATTTATTTTTTTTGAGACGGAGTCTCGTTCTGTCGCCCAGGCTGGAGTGCAGTGGCACAATCTCGGCTCACAGCAAGTTCTCCCTCCCGGGTTCACGCCATTCTCTTGCCTCAGCCTCCCAAGTAGCTGGGACTACAGGTGCCCACCACCACGCCCAGCTAATTTTTTCTATTTTTAGTAGAGACGGGGTTTCACCATGTTAGCCAGGATGGTCTCGATCTCCTGACCTCGTGATCTGCCTGCCTCGGCCTCCCAAAGTGCTGGGATTACAGGCGTGAGCCACCGCGCCCAGTCTATTTCACTTATTATTTAATAAGGAAACCAGTAAGAAGTAAAAATTGGTTGAAAGGAGAATTCAAGGACAAAACACATATATAGGCAATCAGAAATATTGAATTAATTTTGCCTATAGATGCAAAACTAGCCTCTTCCATAGAGTGGAAATCAATACACCTTCATTGGACAAAAGTCATTCTTATTTCTAAGAACAGGAATCATGTACATCACCACCAACCTTCCACCACTTAACTTCAATTTCTACAGATTTGCAAAATAGTCAAGGACAATGAAAGACACAGACCCACGTAGAATTTGATAAACCTGAAAGGGTCCTGTTTCCAGAAATTTTGTCAAGAATTCAATCTGTGTAATTTGATCCCCTACACAGGATCCATAGACCGGCTTAAATAGATGTGAGATTTGAATAACTGAATTTGAGAAATTGCCGGAAAATACACTATACATTTCCATCAAACCAAGAATATTCCTCTATTTTCATACAGTCCCCAAACTCAATTCACGGTCATTGTGACAACACAGCAACCACCTACATTTCTATTTTGCTCCATAAATTTTAGTTATGACAGGTTAGCCAGGCACACTGGAAAATCTCGCCACCAGCCCTTTGCACCCCACAATGAGATGCATGTGCAGATGGAGAGCTGTTGCAAAAACTAGGGCTTCCGTAGGGAGAGGGGGAAGGTTTACAGATTCCAAAATCAGAAGAAACACAACATCTGAATATGAACTTGTAGCCCCAATTAGGAAAATCTGAAAATCATGAGGGAAAGACTTTTAAACCAGCACCTCTCTTATGGGGCCCCCACCTGCTGCTTGGACATGATATACTCACATTTTGATATTCCATCCTGACTGTATTAGAAAGTATGATCCACACTCTTTCTTAGGCAAAGGCTCAAGAAATAAAAATGCTCAGTCTGGTGTGATTGTTCCTCAGAGCTTATGGTGGATTTTCTTGCTTCTTACTAGGAGAAAAAAATGGTCAAATAAAGCAAATTGAACACCTCACAAGCAAGTGGAGAATCAGCCTTGGATAGTTTCCCCATTCATAGCTGTGAAAGAGGTGGACACAGAGCCTGAGAGTCAGTAACTGCAAAGACAAAGCCAAAGGAAGGATCAGCACAGGCCCAAGTGAGGGAGTGCCACTGTAGACTTACAATTCTGGAGCAAGTCTAAAGACTCTTACTGTTGTTGATAGAGCATGACTCATTTATCTGGCATGGTTTGGGATGCTCCCCTATGGTTTAAATACCAGAGTTGGTATTGTACCTGGTAGTACAGTCTAGGTTCATTCTTTTATCCATTTCTTCATTCACACACAGGCATACCTTGTTTTACTGTTTTTCACTTTATTGCACTTCTCAGATACTGCATTTTTAAAACATGGAAGGTTTGGCTGGGCACGGTGGCTCACGCCTGTAATCCCAGCAGTTTGGGAGGCCAAGGCGGGTGGATCACCTGAGGTCGGGAGTTCAAGACCAGCCTGCCTAGCATGGAGAAACTCCGTCTCTACTAAAAATACAAAATTAGCTGGGCTTGGTGGTGCATACCTGTAATCTCAGCTACTCAGGAGGGTGAGGTAGGAGAACTGATTGAACCCGGGAGGTGGAGGTTGTGGTGAGCTGAGATTGTGCAATTGCACTCCAGCCTGGGCAACAAGAGCAAAACTCCATCTCAAAAAAACAAAAAACAAAAAACAAAAACAAGGAAAGTTTGTGGTAGCTCTGTGTTAAGCAAGCCTACCAGTTCCATTTTCAACAGCACGTGCTCACTTCGTGTCTCTGTGTCACATTTTGGTGATTCGCACAGTATTTTTAACTTTTTCATTATTATTATATATACATGGAGATCTGTGATCAGTTATTTATTTATGTATTTATTTATTTATTTATTTTTGAGACAAGGTCTTACTCTGTCATCCAGGCTGGAGTGTAGTGACATGAACACAGCTCATTGCAGCCTTGACTTCCTGGGCTCAGGAGAGCCTCCCCTCAGCCTCCCGAATAGCTAGGACCACAGGTGCACATCAACATGCCCGGCTAATTTTTTAGCTGTTTTTGTAGAGATGGGGTCTCACCTTATTGCCCAGGCTGATCTTGAACTCCTGGGCTTAGGTAATCCTCTTGCCTCAGCCTCCCAAAGTGCTGGGATTACAGGTATGAGCCACTATGTCCAGACTTTGATCAATGATTTTTGATGTAACTATTGTAATTGTTTTGGGGTGCCATGATCCATGCCCGTAGAAGATAGTGAACTTAATTTATAAATGTCATATGTGTTCTGACTGTTCTGCCGACTGGCTGTTTCCCTGTCTCTCTCCCTGATCTTGGGTCTCCTATTCTGAGACACAGCAGTGTTGAAGTTAGGTCAATTAATGACCCTACAAAGGCCTCCAAGTTTTCAACTGAAAGGAATAGTTACTTGTCTTTCACTTTAAACAAAAGGTGGAAATGATTAAGCTTAGTGAGGAAGGCATGTCTAAAGCTGAGATAGGCCAAAAGCTAGGCCTCTTGCACGGGTCGGTGAAGTTGTGAATGCAAAGAAAAAGTTCTGGAAGGAAATTAAAAGTGCTACTCCAGTGAACACACAAATGATAAGAAAGCAAAACAGCCTTCTTGCTGATATGGAGAAAGTTTTAGTGGTAGGATAAAATTTCAAACCTGCCACAACACTCCCTTAAGCCAAAGCCTAATTCAGAGCAAGGCCCTAACTCTCTTCCATTCCATGAAGGCTGGGAGAGGTGAGGAAGCTGCAGAAGAAAGGTTTGAAGCCAGCAAAGGTTGGTTCATGAGGTTTAAGGAAAGAAGCCATCTCTATAACATCAAAGTGCAAGGTGAAGCACTTTCTCCAAAAGCAGAAGCTGCAGCAAGTTATCCAAAAGATCTAGCTAAGATCATTGATGAAGGTGGCTGCTTTAAACAACAGGTTTTCAATGCTGATGAAACAGCCTTCTATTGGAAGAACATGCCACCTAGAACTTCCATAGCTGGAGAGAAGTTAATGCCTGGTTTCCAGGTTTTAAAGGATGGGCTCTCTTGTTAGGGGATAATGCTGCTGGGGATTTGAAGTTGAAGCCAATGCTCATTGAACATTCAAAAAATCCTAGGGTCCTTCAGAATGATGCTAAATCTACTCTACCTGTGTGCTCTAAATGAAACAACAGAGCCTGCGTGACAGCACATCTGTTTATAGCATCTTTTACTGAATATTTTAAGCCCACTCTTTTTTTAATTTAAAAAATTTTTATTACTTTTTAGTTTTTTGTAGAGATGGGGTCTCCCTATGTTGTCCAGGCTGATCTTGAACTCCCGAGCTCAAGTGATCCTCTCGCCTCAGCCTCCTGAAATAATTGGGTTACAAGTATGAGCCACCATGCCTGGTCAAGCCCACCCTTTAAGACCTATTGCTCAGAAAAAAAGGTTTCTTTCAAAATATTTCTGCTCATTAACAATGCCTCTGATCACCCAAGAGTTCTGATGGAGATGTACTAAGAGATTAATGTTGTTTCATGCTTGCTAACATAATATCCATTCTGTAGCACATGGATCAAGGAGTAGTTTCAACTTTAAAGACTTATTCTTAAGAAAAACGTTTCTTAAGGCTATAACTGCCACACGTAAGGATTCCTCTGATGAATCTGGGCAATGTATATTGAAAACATTCTGGAAAGAATTTACCATTCTGGTTGCCACTAAGAATATTTGTGATTCATGGGAAGAGGTCAAAATACCAACATGAGCAGGAGTTTGGAATAAGTTGGTTCCAACCCTCATGGATGACTTGCAGAGGTTCAAGACTTCACTGGAGAAAGTCACAGCAGATGAGGTGGAAATAGCAATAAAATTAGAATCAAAAGTAGAGTCTGAAGATGTGACTGAATGCTGCCATCTCAAGGTAAAACCTGAATGGACAAGGAGTTGCTTCTTATGGATGAGCAAAGAAAGTGCTTTCTGGAGAGGGTATCTAGTCCTGGTGACGATGCCATGTACAATGTTGAAATGACAACAGAAGATTTAGAAGATAACATCAACTTAGTTGATAAAGCAGAAAGCAGTAGCAGGTTTGAGAGGATTGTCTCCAATTTTGAAAGAACTTCTATGGTGGATAAAATGCTATCAAACAGCATTCCATTCTATGGAGAGATCTTTCATAAAAGGGAGAGTCAATTGATGCAGAGAACTTCATTGCTGCCTTATTTTAAGAATTGCCACACCTACCCCATCCTTTGGCAACCACCACCCTGATTAGTCAGCAACCATCAACATCAAGGCAAGACTCTACCCACAAAAAGATTACGGAAGTCATTGAAGGCTCAGATGATCATGAAAATTTTTCAGCAATAAACCATTTTTTAAATTAAGGTATATACATTGCTTTCTTAAGACATAATGCTATTGCACACTTAATAGACTACAGTGTAGAATAACACAATTTTATGTGCACAAGGAAACAAAAATATTCTTGTGACTCACGTTATTGTGATATCTGCTTTATTGCAGTAGTCTGGACCCAAACCCATAATATCTCTGAGGCATACCTACATATACAAAGCACACACTAACTGTCATCTTGGTGTCCCTATGTCTTCCAGCCTTGGGTAGTATATGTATACATTTAATGTTAAAATAAAAATGGCAGCCAGGTGTGGTGGCTCATGCTTGTAATCTCAGCACTTTGGAAGACTGAGGCAGGAGGATCATTTGAGCCCAAGAATTTGAGACCAGCCTTGGCAACATAGTTAGACTCCATCTCTACCAAAAAAAAATTTGTTTTTGATTAGCTGGGCATGGGCTGGGTGTGGTGGTTCACCCTTGTAATCCCAGCACTTTGGGAGGCTAAGGCAGGTGGATCACTTGAGGTCAGGAGTTTGAGACCAGCCTGGCCAACATGGCAAAACACCTTCTCTACTAAAAATACAAAAATTTAGCCAGGCGTGGTGGCAGGTGCATGTAATCCCAGCTACTTGGGGGGCTGAGGCAGGAGAATCGCTTGAACCCAAGAGGCAGAGGTTGAAGTGAGCCAAGATCATGCCACTGTACTGCAGCCTGGGCAAAAGAGCAAGACTCCGTCTCAAAAACAAAAAAAAAACAAAAAACAAAAAAACCCAGCCGGGAATAGTAGTACCTGCCTGTCGTCCCAGCTACTTGGGAGGCTGAAGCAGGAAGATCACTTGAGCACAGGAAGTCGAGGCTGCAGTGAACCATGATTATGCCACTGCACTCCAGCCTGAGTGACAAAGAGACCTTGTCTCAATGTCTCAAAAAAAAAAAAAAAAAAAGACTCAAGTCCTTATCCTACATACTGTGGAAAGTTCAGTGCCTTTCCCATGATTTCTGCAAACCCTAAGGTGCCTCTGTTGCTGGGGTCACTCCTGCTTAGATTTCCTGGTCCCACTAAACTCTCAATCCACCTCACATTCCACTTCTTATGGTTCTTCTCTTCTCTCTGTTACTGTCCAACAGGTTCTTCCTGCCCACTGCAAAACAAAATCAATTCATAGAGACCATGGCATTGCAGTAAAGAAAGAGTTTAATTGACACGACGCCAGCCACGCCATGTGGGAGACAGAGTTATTACTTAAATCAATCTCACCAAAGAATCAGAGGTTAGGAGTTTCTCAAAGATAGTTTGGTGTGCAGGGGATAGGGTATGGGTGCTGCTGATTGGTTTGGGATGCAATCATAAGGGTGTGGAAAACAGTCCTCATGCACTGAGTCCATTTTTGGATGAAGGCTATAGGACTGGTTGAGTCACGGGTCTGCGTGGGGCCATCTAGTTGTCAGAAATGCAAAAGGCTGTCAAAAGGCCAATCTTAGGTTCTACAATACTGAAGTTATTTACAGGAGTAACTGGGGAGGTTGCACATCTTGTGACTTCCAGAATAATGGCTGAATTCAGGCATTCAGGCCCTTCTCATCCTCCTAACTTGGTGGCCTTTCATTAATTTTACAAGGGTAGTTTAGTTTTGGGGAAAGGCTATTATCGTTTACACTATAAACTCAATTTCTGCCAAAGTTAGCTTGGCTTATGCCCAGGAATGAGCCAAGACAGCCAACCTGTGAGGCTAAAAGCAAGATGGAGTCTGCCATGTCCAATTTCTCTTATTGCCATAATTTTGCAAAGGTGGTTTCATCTCCATCCATTGTCAACTTACAAGGGAAAAACAGCATCATTTTTCTCTGATTTCCTCAACAATGCAAGAAGTTCATGTGTATCAGACATTTACCGAAGTTTGAAATAACCCATAGTTTTATAAGACCAAGGAGCACTGCAGATAATTTAAAATAACAAGCATGACTCTTCTTTAAAAACCCCTGGAGAAAATAGATGAGGTAAATATGCCAAAAAGGTAATAACATCTAAAACTGGATAGTTACACAGTGTTATCTTGCTATTTTATTTGATTTTTAATATTTTATTTATATAGTTTTTATAATGAGTTTAAACAACGAAATTAGTCATGGGGCCACAGAAGATACTTTGCTGTCTGTGTTAGGATAAAGGCAAAACTGCCATAACAAAGAATTTCTGAAATGCAGGGGCTAGTGATACAGAAGTTTATTTCACCCTCACACAACAGTCTTCGGGGTGAGTGGCCCAGGTGGGTGAGATGACTCCACATGGCCACATAGGGATCCAAGTTGTTGGGTCCAAGTTGTTCCATCTTGTTTCTCCACCTTCCCCTAGGGCCTTGTCCTTTGCTGCACAAAGTCGGGCTGCAGACACAGCCATGTTCCCATTCACAGATAAGACAAAGAGTGGAAATGGAGGGCGGTCATATTTTTTTTTAAACCAATGAACCCAAGTGCATACATCACTTCCACTTACATTCCACTGTCACGTGGCCACACCTGGCCACAAGGGTGACTAAGAGGTGCAGTCTTTAGGTAGGTAGCCATAGGCCCAGCTAAATGCTGTTCTTCTGGAAGAAAGGGAGAATGGCCTTTGGTGAATTCATGGCAGGCTCCACTTCACTGTCGGTCTCCCTCTATGGGACCCTGGCATTCCTCCCTGCAGTGGCGCTTTTTTGTCTAAAAGGAAGTGAAAGGCTTTTCTCATGAAATACGATTTAAACAGAGACTTGAAGGCAGCTGCGTGGGTATCTGAGTAAGAACATTCCAGCACAGGGAACGACAAGCGTCAGAGGCATTTAAACCAAACAGACTCCATCTTGAAAAGTGGCTGGGTAAAATAAGGCTGAGACCTACTGGGCTGCATTCTCAGGAGGTCAGGCTTTCTTAGTTATGGGATGAGATAGGAGGTTGGCCACAAGGTGCAAGTCATAAAGACCTTGCTGATAAAACAGGATGTGGTAAAGAAGCTGGCTAAAACCCACCATAACCAAGATGGTGATGAAAGTGACTTCTGGTCATCCTCACTGCTTACTATACTCTAATTATAAGGCATTAGCATGCTGAAAGATATTCTCACCAGCACCACGACAGTTTACAAATGCCATGGCAACGTCAAGAAGTTAACCCTATGGTCTAAAAGGGAGAGGAACCCTCAGTTCCAGGAATTGCCCACCCCTTTCCCAGAAAATTCATGATTAATCCACCCCTTGTGTAGCATATAATCAAGAAATAACTATAAGTATGCTCAGTTGAGCAGTCCAGGCCACTGCTCTGCCTATGGAATAGCCATTCTTTTATTTCTTTACTTTCTTAATAAACTTGCTTTCACTTTATGGACTTGCCCTGAATTCTTTCTTGCATGAGATCCAACAGCCCTCTCTTGGGGTCTAGATCAGGACCTCTTTCTGGTAATACAAGTACCAAGCCCATCCAGACAATGCAAGGTGCCAGAGGTCTCAGAGAGTGAAAGGAAGTGATGCCCATTGTCAGCCATAGCCAAGCAGTTGGATTGATTCTGAGATGATGTGTCACTGGAGGGCTCCAAGCAGAAAAGTAATATGATCTGGTTTATACTTTATAAGGATTATTTCAGCTGCTGTGTGAAAAATAGCCTGTGGGGGTAAGAGTGAAGACTGACAGGCTCATTCGGAGGCTACTGAAATAATCTAGGACAGAGACACTGGTGGCTTGGGTGTGGAGGTGTTGTGGAGGTGGGGACAAGTGGTCAGGCTCCAGACACATTTTTTTCGATGGAGCCAAAAGGACTTAAAGGAATGCATGTAGGATGTGAGAGAAGTAGAGGAATCCAAGATGACTTCAGAGATTTGTCCTGAGCCACTAAAAGGCTGGCATTGCCACTGACAGAGCTGCATAGGGCTGGAGAATGAATGGGTTGAGGTGGTGGGGCAAGGAATATTGAGCTCATTTGTAGATATATTGGCAATGCCATGTTGCAGAGTGACTGACTATACAACTCATGGGAGGGCTAAGTCATTAGTATATAAATAGCATTTAAAGCCATGGGCTTGTATGAGACCCCTAGGAAGTGAGTATAGCCAGAAAGGGAGAGTGGCCAAGGCTGGAGCTCTGGGAGCTCCAATATTCAGATGGCAGGAAGATGCAGACCAAAAGAGTTTGAGAGGAAGCAGCCAATGAAGTAAGAAGGGAACTCAAAGTGGCATGACATCTGTATCAGTCCACTTTCACACTGTGATAAAGATACTACCTAAGACTGGATCATTTATAAACAAAAGAGGTTCAATTGACTCACAGTTCCACATAGCTGGGGAGGCCTCAGGAAACTTACAATCATGGTGGAAGGCAAACGAAAAGAGAGGCAAGACTTACATGGTGGCAGGAGAGAGCGTCCATAGGGGAAACTCCAGACACTTAAAAAAAAACAAACAAAAACAAAACAAAACAAAAAACAAAAAAAAAAAACACATCTCGTGAGAACTCCTTCACTATCATGAGGATAGCATGGGGGAAACAGCCCCTATGATCCAATCACCTCCCACCAGGTCTCTCCCTTGACATGTGGCGATTACAATTCGAGATGAGATTTGGAAGTGAGTGTAGCCAAAGCATGTCAACGACCCAAAGGGAAATTGCAGAAAGGGCCCCAAGGAGGTGAGATGAGTGCTGGGAATTGACCATAGGGCTCAGCAATTGGAAGCACATGGTAATAGCATTGTCAGTGAAGTTGTGGGCATCATGGCCTGGCTGGAGTAGATCCATGAGACAATGACCCATGAGAGGAGCTGGAGACAGAAACTAAAGATATGGCTTGTGAATTTTGGCTTAAAGGAGATCAGGGAAATTGGGTGGTAGCTTGAAGAAGATGTGGATTTAAGGGAATATTTCTCTTTTTTTTCTTTCTTTTTAAAAAAAGATTAAGAGATATGAAATACTGATGGGAATTACCCAGTAGGAAGGAAGAGGGCACAACTGCAGGAGCTGAGTGCTTGAGTAGGTGAGAGGGGCTGGGACCCACTTCACAGGACTTTAAGGACAGCCCAAGTGGTTGATGGTAGCAGGAAGGTTGAAGGCCAGGTGTGAGGCACAGGCACAGCCTCCTCAGGAGAATCCGTGGTGGAAGCAGGTGAAGGTTATCTTCTGATTTTCTCAGTAAATTAAGAATTTGAGGTTAGGCACAGTGGCTCACACCTGTAATCCCAGCACTTTGGGGAGGCCAAGGCAAGAGAATCGCTTGAGGCCAGAAGTTCAAGACCAAACTAAGCAACATAGCAAGCCCCTGTCTGCAAAAAATGTAAAAAAACAAAATTAACCAAGTGTGGTGGTGCGTGTCTATAGTCTCAGCTACTCAGAAGGCTGAGGTGGGAGGATCACTTGAGCCTGGAAGGTGGAGGCTGCAGTGAGCTTTACCGTTGCACTCCAGCCTGGGTGACAGAGCAAGACCCTATCTAAAAAAAAAAAAAAAAAAAAAATTCAGATAGGAGGTTGTGGGTGTCACAGGGGAAGGGCCATCTGAATTTGGAGGAGAGGGGAGAAGTATGAAATTGTCTCAAGATGGGGAGAATAAGTTGACTAGGGAAGTGGCTCTCAAACTTGACGGCACATCAGCATCACCTGGAGGACTTGACAAAGCAGACTGACAGGCCCCGCCTTCTGAGTTTTTAATTCAGGAGGTCTGAGGTGGAGCCTGAGAATTTGCTTTTCTAACAAGTTCCTGGTGTGATATGGTTCGGTTCTTCTCACTTTCCTCCTGCTGCCTTGTGAAGAAAGTGCCTGCTTCTCTTTTGCCTTCCACCATAATTGTAAGTTTCCTGAGGCCTTCCCAGCCATTTGAAACTGTGAGTCAACTAAACCTCCTTTCTTTATAAATGACCCAGTCTCAGGTAGTATTCATTATAGCAGTGTGGAAATAGACTAATACATGGCGATATTGATGCTGCTGGGCCAGGAACCTCACTTCGAGAACCGCTGGACTAGGAAATGTGGAGAGATTCCTGAGGAGCATGAGAAGTCCTTGTGAGGTTAGTGTCCATGAGAACTGTGAGCAAGGGTGGGTGTTTTTCTCCAGCCATGTGCAATGTCTCAGATGCTGGCATGGATTTAACCAGAGTGGTGTTTTGCCAGATAAACAGGAGAGAGGCACTGGGTATTTATTATAATGGATTATGCTGTCTAGCTTAGGTAAGAAGTAAGTTAGACTGGGGCTAGTGTGAGGCACAGGCCAGGTGCCTAGGGTGCACCATTTAAAGAGACAAAATTTGCAAGTGCCCACCTGCTCTCGCAGGACCCTGAGAGTGTGTGTTTCCTTAGATGTTGCACCCTAGGCTCTCCCTTGTCTCCCTCTAGTCCTGGCTATGGAAGTGAGGACATAGGGCATTTGGGGGAGTAAATAGGTAATAGGATCAGTAGTTTAGAGATCCTCATTGGGTTGAAGAATTATTAAAATTGGGGTACTAGAGGAAGTGACTCAAAAATATGAGACAGTTTAAGATTTAGATGTTTGAGTGTAAGACTATGGAGTAAACGTGAGCAACATAATGAAATCTGTATAAAAAATAAAAAATTAGCTGGACACAGTGGCTCATGCCTGTAGTCCTAGCTACTCGGGAGGCTAAGGCAGGAATATTGCTTTCGCCCAGGAGTTCAAGGCTGCAATGAGCTATGACTGTACCACAGCACTCCAGCCTGGATGACAGAACGAGACCCTGTTGTCTCTTAAAAAAATTTTAAAGACTATGGAGTAGATACAATTCTTGCCATTCATGAAGTCTAGACGTGTATATGACTAAGGGAGTAAGCGGGTGGCTAAGAAGTGGAGGACAAAATCATTAAAGGTGAAGAAGTTGAGGAAATTTTAAAGGCCAGGGAACTAGAAGAATCATCTTCATGGACACTAAACCCCCCAAGAATCATGACTAGAGCTGTAGAGATAGAACTAGTAAACCTGGACCTAAAATTTTCCAGGAACGAGGGAGAGTAACTTCAGGTCCTACATAATTGAAACTTCTGTGATTCTGAGATAATCCCTTAGGAATTCTGTCCCTGCTGGGGAAGTCCCGGTGTGACAGCTGGTGTGACACAATGCCTGCTTACTGGATCAGACATTTCCGATGCCTCACTCAGGAGGAGGCTGAGATCCTGATATATATTAAATATATATTTTTAATATATTTTAACATATATTTAATATATCCAGGATATATTCAGAGTTGAGCCCAGTTATTGCATGGAATCCTTAACCAGAGGTTTAACGTCCAGATGAAGTGCTGCTCCTATTCCATGTTGAATGTTTTCTGACACAAAAGCAAGAATGCTCTCCCTGCCCTCCAGCTGTCAATAATTATAAAAGATGACCATCAAGAACATAGGTATAAAACAGAAGGTCTGGTCACAGCCCAGTGTGGGTTCTCTTGAGTTTTCATTTGCACAGAACCACGGCCACCAAACCACAGCATAGGTTTCTGCTGTTTTTGAGCCAGCTCATGGGTTAATGTTTCCCAGTCCTGGTCATTTGGAGTCAGTAGTCCACAGTGCATACTATGCATTTTCTTCTTCATCCATTCCCATCTTAATCCCTACAGTGACACTTCTAGTCACCCCCAATCAAAAAATGTATAATTATTTCCAGTCTTCATTCTTCTTGATGACATTCTATCATAATTTGCCTGATGACTGTCCTTTTCTGGTTTGATCCCCCACACTTTCCCCTGCTGGTCCCTTTCCTTGCACCCTCTTCATTCTGTGATCTCGTATCCCTTTTGCCCTGTAAGGGCTCACTTGTTGGCTCAAATTCATCCCAGACTGAACTGAACTAGACAATTTACAAATTTTCTGAATTTATAAATTTTCTAACTTAGTAATAAGCTGATGTTGCTGGTGGTCCTGTTCTGGCCTTGTTACCCTGGGAGTGGGACTAGGTTTCTACCTGTCCATACTTTCCAGAGGTTGAGTCCTAAACACGCTGGAGGAGGCTTTGTTCCTCTTAAGATGACAGGCAGCTCAGATTAGTTCTCTCCTCTGTCACATTAGACCAAGCGCTTACCACCTGACCTCCTGATTAAGACAACAGACTTGTTGCTGAATTATTTGGCTCTGGGGTCTTCCCTTCTCTAACCCCTTAGACACTGTTGCCAGCAAAATTTTCCCAAAGCACACGTCTACAGGAATGACATTCAAAAAAACCAACAACTGGTATGGCAACAACTGGTATGTGAGCCACTGTGTCTGGCCCATAATTTTCTTAATAATACTTTATTTTCTCTAGTTTACTTTATTGTAATAATACAGTATATGATCTATATAACATATAAAATGTCTTAATTATTATTAACACAGGCCTGGCATGTTGGCTCACACCTGTAATCCCAACATTTTGAAAGGCCAAGGCAGGCGGATCACCGGAGGTCAGGGGTTCAAAACCAGCCTGGCCAACATGGTGAAACCCCATCTCTACTAAAAATACAAAGATTAGCTAGACGTGGTGGCGAGTGCCTATAATCCCAGCTACTTGGGAGGCTGAAGGACGAGAGTCACTTTTATCTGGGAGGTGGAGGTTGCAGTGAGCGCAGATTGCACCACTGCACACCAGCCTGGGTGACAGAGCGAGACTCCATCTCAAAAAAAAAAAAATTATTATTACCACATATTACTGTGTTATCAGTGAGACTTTTGGTTAACAGCAGGCTATTAAGATTTGGGATAATCAAAAGTTACATGCATATTTTTGACTACATGAGGCTCAGCACCCCTAACCCCTGCCTTGTTCAAGGGTCAGCTGTATGTCAAAATTCTAACAACTGCTATAGTCATGTTGGCATACTAGGTGAACTCTAGACTTCTATAATGTCATTTCTCTTGTCAAGAACATTCAATAATAGTCCATCTTTAAGTACTGGATCAATGAGTATACATCAAAGTTCATTGTATCAGATACCAATATACATCTTCAGGAAGGTGGGCTCTGAAACATCTCAAACAGGCATCTTTAGAAGCAAACCTCATTCCTTGAAAATAATTTGGAATGGCCTCACCTGAACCCTAGTATTTGCACTTTGTCTGCAACAAGACTGTAACACAGAGGTGTATATTACACAAGGGCATTTGGGTAGAGGACTGTGCAGAAAAGTTTTTGGAATTCCAACAGAAGGGAGTTTCAAATGGGGATCCAAAGTGGCTATTCAAGGCCGGGCATGGTGGCTCATCCCTGTAATCCCAGCACTTTGGGAGACCAAGGCAGACAGATCGCTTGAGCTCAAGAGTTCAAGACCAGCCTGGGAAACATGGTGAAACTCTTTCTCTACAAAAAATACAAAAATTAGCCAGGCATGGTGGTGCATGCCTGTAGTCCCTAGCTATTCAGGAGGCTGAGGTGGGAGGACGACTTGAGCCCATTGTCACGCACGTCCGCGTGAAGAGACGACCAAACAGGCTTTGTGTGAGCAACAAGGCTGTTTATTTCACCTGGTTGCAGGTGGGCTGAGTCCAAAAAGAGAGTCAGGGAAGGGAGATAGGGGTGGGGCTGTTTTACAGGATTTGGGTGGGTAGTGGACAATTACAGTCAAAGGGGTTTGCTCTCTTATGGGCAGGGGCGGGGGTCACAAGGTGCTCAGTGGGGGAGCTTCTGAGCCAGGAAAGGAATTTCACAAGGTTAATCACTCAGTTAAGGTGGGGCAGGAACAAATCACAATGGTGGAATGTCATCAGTTAAGGCAGGAACCAGCCATTTTCACTTCTTTTGTGATTCTTCACTTGCTTCAGGCCATCTGGATGTATATGTGCAGGCTTGGGCTCAGAGGCCTGACATTCCCGTCTTCTTATATTAATAAGAAAAATAAAACAAAATAGTGTTGAAATGTTGGGGCGGTGAAAATTTTTTGGGGGTGGTATGGAGAGATAATGGGTGATGTTTCTTAGGGCTGCTTCGAGTGGGATTAGGTGCGGCGTGGGAACCTACAGTAGGAGAGATTAAGCTGAAGGAAGATTTTGTGGTAAGGGGCGATATTGTGGGGTTGTTAAAAAGAGCATTTGTCATATACAAAGATTCGTGATGGCCTGGATGCAGTTTTGTATGAATTGAGAAACTGAACAGAAGACGCAAGGTCTGAATAAGAGAAGGGGAAAAACAGGTATTAAAGGACTAAGAATTGGGAGGACCCAGGACATCCAATTAGAGAGTGTCCAAGGGGGTTCAGCGTAATTACTTGTTTGGTTGGTGAGTTTTTGGGCTCTATTCTTGACAGAGTCCTTTTTGTTAAGTTGGAGGCTGAGCTTGGTGAGGTGTGTTTTTAAAAGACCATTAGCCTGTTCTACCTTTCGTGAAGATTGAGGACGGTAAGTGGTATGAAGGTTTCACTGAATACCAAGAGCCTGAGAAACTGCTTGGGTGATATGACTAGTAAAGGCCGGTCCGTTATCGGACTGTATTGAGGTGGGAAGGCCAAACCAAGAAATTATGACCGCGGTGGCCTTTTCAGACCCTGTAGGAAAGGCCTCTACCCATCCAGTGAAAGTGTCTACCCAGACCAAGAGGTTATTTTAGTTTCCTGACTTGAGGCATGTGAGAAAATTCAATTTGCCAGTCCTGGGCCGGGGCAAATCCCTGAGCTTGATGTGTAGGGAAGGGAGGGGGCCTGAACAATCCCTGAGGAGTAGTAGAATAGCAGATGGAACACTGAGAAGTGATTTCCTTAAGGACAGATTTCCAAGATGGAAAGGAAATGAGAGGTTCTAAGAGGCGGGCTAGCAACTTGTAACCTACATGGAAGAGATTATGAAATGATGATAGAATAGAATGGGCCTGTGAGGCTGGAAGGAGATATTTTTCTTAGTCCAAGAACCATTTGCCTTGTGTGGGAAGAGATTGATAGGTGGAAGTTTCAGTGGGGGAGTAGGTGGGAGTGACTGATGAGAGGGAGAAAAACTGGCCGTGAGGGACAGAAGTTGGAATGCTAGCTGCTTCTTTAGCTACCTTATCAGCATAAGTGTTACCTTGAGCAATGGGATCTGATGCCTTTTGATGGCCTTTGCAGTGAATGAATCCAGCTTCCTTTGGAAGTAAAGCAGCCTTGAGAAGAGTTTTTATTAAGGAGGCATTAATGATGGAGGACCCTTGAGTAGTGAGGAAACCTCTTTCAGCCCATATAACAGCATGGTGGTGTAGGATATGGAAGACATATTTAGAGTAAGTATAAATATTGACGTGTAGTCCCTTTGCAAGAGTGAGGGCCTGAGTTAAGGCAATGAGTTCAGCTTACTGAGAAGTAGTGGAGGGAGCAGAGCAGTAGCCTCAATGATAGATGTGGAAGACACTATAGCATAGCCTGCGTTTGTTGGTGAGTGGCTATTAGGCCTGCTGGAACTGCCATCAATAAACCAAGTGTGATCAGGATGAGGAACAGAAAAGGAGGAAATATGGGAAATGGAGTGAATGTCAGGTGGATCAGAGATACAGTCATGGGGGTCAGGTGTGGTATCAGGAATAATGTGGGAGGCTGGATTGAAGTCCGGCCAGGAACAATGGTAATTGTGGGAGACTCAACAAAGAGTGAGTACAGCTGAAGGAGCTGGGGAGCAGAAAGTATATGCATCAGGTGGGAGGAAGAAAATAGATTTTGGAAGTTGTGAGAACTGTAGAGAGTGAGTTGAGCATAGTTTGTGATTTTTAGGGCCTCTAAAAGTATTAGGGTGGTGGCAGCCACTGCACAGAGACATGATGGCCAGCCTAAACGGTAAAGTCAAGTTGTTTGGACAAAAAGGCTACAGGGCACGGTCCTGGTCCTTGTGTAACAATTCCGACTGCACAGCCCTGCACTTTGGCTGTGTGTAATGAAAAGGTTTGGGATGCAGGGAGAGCTAGTGTGGGAGCAGTCTCTAAAGCTGTCTTCAAGGAATGGAAAGAGGAGTGGGGAAAGGATTTAGGATCTATGGGGTCAACTAGGTTTCCTTTTGTGAGTTTATATAATGGTTTCATTAGGAGGCAAAACCAGGTATCCAAAGGCGAAAGTATCCAACCATGCTTAGGAAGGAAAGGAGTTGTTATTTTGTAGAAGGGATTGGGGTTTGAGAGATCAGTCAGACATGATTGGCAGGGAGAGCACGTGTGTTTTTATGAAGAATTATGCTGAGGTAGGTAACAGATGGAGAAGTGATTTGAGCTTTGGAGGATACCTGATATCCTTTGGAGAATAAATGTTGAAGGAGCAGGAGGGTGTCTTGTTGAGAAGATTCAAAGGAGGCGCTACAAAGTAGAAGGTCATCAATATATTGAATAAGGTGAGAAGTGGAGGGGTGGAAAGAAAGTAAATCATGAGAAAGAGCTTGGCTGAAGTAACGAGGGCTGTCCCTGAAGGCTTGCAGCAGCATAGCCCAGGTAAGCTGCTGGGACTGATGGATGTCAGAGTCAGTCCAGGTAAAAGCAAAGAGAGGCTAGGACAAGGGGTGTAGGGGAATAGTGAAAAAAAGCATCTTTAACATCAAGAATGGAATAGCGAGTTGTGGAGGAAGGTATTGAAGACAAAAGAGTGTACAGGTTGGGCACCACAGGGTGGATAGGCAAAACAATTTGGTTGATAAGGCACAGATCCTGAACTAACCTGTAAGACTTGTCTGGTTTTTGAACAGGTAAAATGGGAGAATTGTAAGGAGAGTTTATAGGCTTTAAAAGTCCATGTGGTAACAGGCGAGTGATAACAGGCTTTAATCCTTTTAAAGCGTGCTGTGGGATGGGATATTGGCGTTGAGCGGGGTAAGGGTGATAAGGTTTTAATGTGATGGTAAGGGGTGCATCATCCATCGCCAAGGAGGGAGTAGAGGTGTCCTATACTTGTGGATTAAGGTGGGGAGATGCAAGGACAGGATGTGAAGGAGGCTTTGAATTGGGGGGAAAGGCGGCAATGAGGTGTGGCTGTAGCCCAGGAATAGTCAGGAAAGCAGACAATTTAGTTAAAATGTCTCAACCTAATAAGGGAGCTGGGCAGGTGGGGATAACTAAAAAGGAGAGCATAAAAGAATGTTGTCCAAGTTGGCACCAGAGTTGGGGAGTTTTAAGAGAACTTAGAAGCCTGGCCATCAATACCCACAACAGTTATGGAGGCAGGGGAAACACGCCCTTGAAAAGAGGGTAATGTGGAGTTGGTAGCCTCTGTATTGATTATGAAGGGGACGGACTTACCCTTCACTGTAAGAGTTATCCAAAGTGTCTGTGATGGTCCTATAGGCTTCCCAGGCAATCAAGCAGTGTCAGTCTTCAGCTGCTGAGCCGAGAAGATCTGGGAAGGAGTCAGTCAGAGAGCCTTGGGCCAGAGTTCCAGGGGCTCTGGGAGTGGCTGCCGGGTGAGTTGGACAGTCCATTTTCCAGTGGGGTCCTGCACAGATGGGACATGGCTTAGGAGGAATCCGAGGCTGCGGGCATTCCTTGGCCCAGTGGCCAGATTTCTGGCACTTGAAGCAAGCTCCTTGGGGAGGAGGTCCTGGAGGAACACCTGGCCACTGCAGTTCAGACGTTTTGAAGTTCTTGTGTGATGGAGATGTGGCTAGAGTTTCTCTCACAGTAGAGGCAAGTAATTGCAACTCAGAAATAGTTGCTACTTGGCTGCCTCTACTCTATTATTGTACACCTTGAAGGCGAGGTTAATTAGGTCCTGTTGTGGGTTTTGAGGGCTAGAATCTAATTTTTGGAGCTTTTTCTACTGTCAGGAGGGGATTGGGTAATAAAATGCATATTGAGAATAAGACAGCCTTCTGGCCCCTCTGGGTCTAGGGCAGTAAAGTGTCTAAGGGTTCTTGCCAAACGGGCCATGCACTGGGTTTTCATACTTGGTGAAAAAGAGCCTAAACGCTAACTGATTTGGGAGAGGTTGGATAAAGAAAAAGGAGCATTAACTTTGGCTATGCCTTCAGCTCCAGCCACCTCTCTAAGAGGAAATTGTTGGGCAGGGGGGGAGGGCTAGTCGCCGAATGAAGCTGTAAGCCAGACCAGGCGTGATGAAGGAAGGTAATAGAAGGGTTATAGGGTGGGGGAGTGGAGGCTGAAGAAGAGTTGGGACCTGGATTGGCCTGGCAAGGAGCAGCCTGGGGAGGAGGGGAAAGGTCAGATGGGTCTGTAGAAAACGAGGATTCACATGACTCAGAGCTTGGGGTGGAGACTGAAGGAACTGACAGGAGAGAAAGAAGAAAGATTTGGGACGAGTTGCATTGGGAGCAGAGACTAGGGAGGGACCAATGTGTAAAAGAATGCCTGGATGTCAGGCACCTCAGACCATTTGCCCATTTTTTGGCAAAAATTATCTAGGTCTCGTAGGATGGAGAAATCAAAAGGGTCATTTTCTGGCCATTTAGAACCATTGTCAAGTTTGTATTGGGGCCAAGCGGTGTTGCAGAAGAAAATAAGACACTTAGATTTTAGGTCAGGCAAGAGTTGAAGAGGTTTTAAGTTCTTGAGAACACAGGATAAGGGAGAAGAAAGAGGAATGGAGGGTGGAAGCGTGCCCACAGTGAAGAAGGCAAGTTTAAAAAGAAGGGTAGAGACACAGAGAAGGGGGGTGGGGAGCAGCCCTGGGCTGCAATGTGGGTGAGCAGCCAAAGCAGGCGTCCCCGCGATTGACTTGCCACCAAGGGAATGTGGGTGAATGACCAAGGCAGGCGTCCCTGTGGTGATCAGACACCAATGGAATGTGGGTGAATAATCAGGCAGGCGTCCCCACAGTGATTAAACACCAAGGGAAGACTGTCTTCCCAAGTCCATGACTGGCGCCAGAGTTTTGGGTCCACGGATAAAATGTGTCTCCTTTTCTCTACTAGAGAAGAAAAAGAACTGGAATTGGAAGGACAGGGAGATTGAAGGGTAGCAAGAGAGGAAGATTGAAGGGTAGTGAGAGAGGCTGGAGAAAAGTGAAAAGACCGCTTACCCGATTTGAAATTGGTGAGATGTTCCTTGAGCTGGTTGGTCTGAGGACCCGAGGTCGTAGGTGGGTCTCCTCACAGAGTGAGGGCAAGGACAGCGGACTGGTCCCCCAAAGGAGTCTCTCTGACCTGGGTCTTCAGCACCAAATGTCACGCATGTCTGTGTGAAAAGACCACCAAACAGGCTTTGTGTGAGCAACAAGGCTGTTTATTTCACCTGGGTGCAGGTGGGCTGAGTCCAAAAAGAGAGTGAGGGGAGATAGGGGTGGGGCTGTTTTACAGGATTTGGGTGGGTAGTGGAAAATTACAGTCAAAGGGGGTTGTTCTCTTATTGGCAGGGGCGGGGGTCACAAGGTGCTCAGTGGGGGAGCTTCTGAGCCAGGAGAAGGAATTTCACAAGGTTAATCACTCAGTTAAGGTGGGGCAGGAACAAATCACAATGGTGGAATGTCATCAGTTAAGGCAGGAACCAGCCATTTTCACTTCTTTTGTGATTCTTCACTTGCTTCAGGCCCTCTGGATGTATATGTGCAGGCTTGGGCTCAGAGGCCTGACACCCATGAGGTTGAGGCCGCAGTAAGCCATGATTGCACCACTGCATTCCAGCTTGGGTGACAGAGCTAGACCCTGTCTCAGAAAACAAACAAAAAACAAACCAAAAGAAAAAACAAAAAACCAAAGTGGCTCTCCAGCCAGCACGTAAAAATGTGTAAAGACAAAGGAAGATTATATTGACACATGGAGAGAAAAGAAACCAACCCATTCCCTTTATTAGAAGGCTGGGATCTCTAAGAAGCAGATTACAAAATAAGTCCAGCAACCAAGCACACAGGGGAGGTCCCTCCATAAATGGTGGGTGAGGAGACATGGAGGGTAAAGATCAGCCATGTGAATGGGATAAGTATTCAGATAACATTTTGGGGTTCAAGCAATTTTGGCTTCTACAAAAACATTGACTTGATCTTTGTTGCATGCTACTTGCAAATGTTGTTTTCTTTTCCAGAAAACTCTTTGGTAATGGTGTCTATTCTGCAATTCACATACTTTCTGAAATTCTAGGAAAAGGGGAATAAGTCAACAGCAGCCATATTCCAGGAATTTAATGGCAGGGGAATTGTTGAAACCAGTGCCCAGAAATAAGAGTAACATCTGTTTGTTACTCCTTTCAGGTCTGATCTTAAGACGTTCCTGTTGCATCTATCTTCCACAGTTACATCCTCAGACTTTTGACATCCCCTACTTGGCTATTCTGGGTGTCATTTTGCTAACCTCTTCAGTCATGCCAGTCTCAAGTTTATCTCTAACCTGTCCACTTGATTCTTCTGGTCCCTCCACTGATGTTCATCTGTCTCAATCCTGCATTAAGAGCTCACATCATCACCATTAGTAACACAGCAGAGTGGATAATTCCCACCTCCATATTTTTATTCATTTTTTTGAGACAGTCTTGCTCTGTTGCTCTACAGGCTGGAGTGCAGTGGTGCGATCTTGGCTCACTGCAACCTCCACTTCCTGGGTTCAAGCAATTCTCATGCCTCAGCCTCCTGAGTAGCTGGGACTACAGGTGTGCACCACCACGCCTGGCTAATTTTTTTGTATTTTTAGTAGAGATGGAGTTTCACTATGTTGGTCAGGCTGGTCTTGAACTCCTGTCCACAAGTGATCCACCCTCTTTGGCCTCCCAAAGTGCTGGGATTACAAGTCTAAACCACTGTGCCCGGCCATATTTTTATTCATTTATTCACTCATTCATTCATTCAATAAGCATTGAGTACCTCCTATAGCTCAGGAAATATGCTAGATCCTGGGGCTTGAGAGATAAATGAGACACAGATTCTGTCCTTTTTAGAGCTCATAGTCTAGTTCATGGGTGGGAATAGATGTGCTAAGAAGTAATGGGCACATAGTGTATTATATGTCCCCAATCTGCACATAGTATAATATATTCCCCAATAGAGCCATGCAAATGGCATAATATAAACAGAATAGGGGGTAAAGAACTCTGCTGGAGGAAGGCACAGAGAGGACTTCCCAGAGGAGGTAACATTTGATGTGTCGTAAAGAAGGTTTCCATTCAAAGGAAGGGATAAGGGCATTTCACACAGAAGGAATGGGAAGACAACGGTTTCAAAGGAGTATGGCATGTTCAGGAGATGGCAATCAGTTTGACAAGGCAAAGGAGGCTGTTTTGTGCTTAATCATGCATGGTTTTAAAGCTAGACTGTATGAAAGTACCCAGTGTGCATTTCGACGAGCTATTAAACTTATGTGCCTCAGTTTTCCTATATGTAAAATGTGGATAAATACAGCTTCTATCCCATAGGATCGTTTTGAAATTTTAACGTGTTAACACACCTAAACACTCAAAAACAAAGCTTTATATGTTGTAACTGCACAGAAAAATGTTTGGTGTCATTTACTTATTGCCATCATCGTTGTCATCATCATCATCCCTGCTTTGCCTCTTTTTATCCTTACATTTAACTAGTCACTAAGTTGTCTCTGTTCTACTCAATATTTCTCAAATCCATATCCTTATTACTATCCCCATTCCTATTGCCTTAATTTAAGCTCTTATCCTCTAATACTTAGTCTTGCTGCCTCCGATGATTTCTCTAGCAGTTGAATTCGTACACATTCCATCAAGCCTTGGAGGAAGGAAACCAATGGAGATGAGATTAGAAAAGTAATCAGGGACTAGATAATCAAGAGTCTGCTATGGCACCATAAGAGGTTTTGACTTTATTCTGTAGCTTATGAAGAGCCATTAAATATTTTAAGCAGAGAAGTGGCAATAGGATTTGCACTGTATAAAGACAATGTGGAAATTTAGAGATGTACTCTACAGGTGTCTTTGGAAGATTGGCTGGTGAGGAGAGGAGAGGGAGGGGAAGGAAGGAATCAAGAAGACGCTTAGGGTTTGGGGCTTGAGAAACTTGGTGGATCAGGTACCATCTTCTGAGATGACTGGAGTATGGAGTTTGGGAGAGGGTGTGGCTGGAAATGAAACTAGAGAGGAAAGAATGACTTAAATCACAAAACACTTTGGGCTTTATCCCCTGAGTCCAGAAGTAAGGGCGAAGAAATGGACACTTTTTTTTCTCGGGAAAAAAAGATAGGAAAAAGTAGAGCATTCATTCTCTTCTGTTGGCTTCTCTTCTTTGCATCCTATGATAAAGTCCTTCTCTTAGCCAATCCTTAAATGCCCTCATTTGCCCTTTCAGGTTATTTAAAATGTAATTATCATTAAAGAACCAGAGAAAGTCTATCTCTTCTCAACATTGATGGAGTCTGACTACCCCAGCCCACACTAAATCTCTTTTCTGATTGCTTATTGTATTAAATATTCTGATGCTCAGTTTAGTGCTTAATAGGTCTCTAATTACTTCCTGTCATAGCTTTATCTTCCTAACTACATTGAATTGCTACCTTTAAAGGCAAAATAAATTACTGAATCCTCCAAAAGGTATACAGTAGAAACTCTATACTACCTTATGGGTTCAGAGAGGGTTAGACGGAACCTTAAGACTAACTTGTCTAGTGGTGTTCAACCTAGAATTTCACATTCCAATATGGTTATAATAGTGTCCGCATGCTGTTTTTCTTAGTTTAAGCCTCTAATAGCTGTTGCATATTTTCTTATATAAAGTCTGTGCAAGCTTCTTTGGGCAATAGTTATATTAATCCAGTTTAGTAACACTGGGGATCACATAAGAAATGAATCAGTTACTTAACAACTTCTGGTTGATTAAAAAAAATTCTTTCAAAAGATAGCAAGTATGAGAAAGGATAAAAGCATTCCTTGGTGGTAACATCACTAATCATCAAGGATATACAAATCAAAACCACAGTGCAATATCATTTCACACCTGTTTAAAATGGCTATTATCAAAAAGATGAGGCAATTTTTGGCAAGAGTGTGGAGAAAAGGAGACCTTTGTACATGGTTGGTGGGAATGTAAATTAGTATAATCAATATGGAAAACAGAACAGAGGCTCCTCAAAGCTAAAAATAGAAATACCATATATCCAGCAATCTATCTATGGGTGCATAACCAAAGGAAATGAAATTACCACCCCCATGTTTATGCATTATAATTATGCAGCATAATTTATTGCAGCATAATTCACAATATCCAAGATCTAGAAACAATAACCAAGATATGGAAACAACCTAAGTGTCCATTGATGAATGAATAGATAAAGAATTTATGGTACATGTCTACAATGGAATATGATTCAGCCTTAAAAAAGAGAGATCTTGCCATTTGTGACATGGTTGAACCTAGAGGACGTTATGCTAAGTGAAATAAGCCAGACATGGAAAGAAGAGTACTATATGATCTCATTTATGTGCAATCTAAAAAGAAAAACAAAGCTCAAATGCATAGAAACAGAATAGAACAGGGGTGGGGAGATGAAGAGACAGAAGTCAAAGGGTAAAAAGTTAGTTATGTAGGATGAAGAAATCTGGAGATCTAGTGTATAACATAACTATCCTATAGTTAATAGAATTGTATTTTATACTGAAAATTCACTGAAAGTAGACCTTATGTACTTTTGCCACCCACACTAAAAAAGTAACTATGTGAGATGATGAATATGCTAATTTGCTTCTTGACTGTAGTGACCATTTCATTATGTATGTTTGTCAAGACATCATGTTGTACACCTTAAATATATACTATTTTTTTTTTTAAATTACTTGGTGGTAGAAATTAGCAAACACTAATCTAGGCCAGCTCTCTTATTTTAGTGGTGTGCAAACTGAGACAGAAGGCCCTAGCTGAGGAACTAGCCCAAGGTCATAACCTACTCAATAGCTGGCACAGGGCTGGAAAGCAGACCCTCACACTCTAGCTCGGTGCTGGTCTACCGAGAGTTTCCCATTTCTACTGGGAATTGCTATTGACACATGCAGGGCAGAGGAAAAGGAAACTAATAATTGTTGAAGGCTTAATATTTACAAGTCACTGTATGGATGCTTTATTATGTATTATCTCCTTTCTCCTCTGCACACACACGCACACACATGTGTGCACACACACCCACACAAAACCCTATGAAGTGGCTCTTAATTTCCTTTCTTTCTCTCTCCTTCTTCCTCTTTTTCTTCTTTCCTCCTCCATCCCTCCCTCCCTCCCTTCCTTCCCTTTCTTTCTTTCTACAAAACTGAGACCATCAAGGATTAAGAAATGCTGCCCAAGTCAGCCAAGTCTAAAGTGTCTCTCCAAATCTAGAATATTTCAGGATATTTACATGGCTCTCAGGTGCACACCTTCCTGTTTTTGAGAAAAGTTCATGGGATGGGAACCTTGAAAGGTCCTGGGAAAAATATGGTGGCCTAGTGCTCAAGAGAGTACTAGAGAAAATGGTAAAAGTCCCAGGTAAACCAGAAAATTCTTCAAACCCAGTTCTTTTCAGATTTTGTATCTGGCCTGAACCACATTATCTGCCTCCCTCTACTCTCCAGTTCTCTGTCTCTACTGGCACAGCCCAGCCCCTCTCTCCTCCCCTAACCTTCTGAGATCTCCACTAAGGGACAGTCTAAGCAATGGAAATAGGCAACTTTGCCCTTTATCTCTAGGTCCTTCCTCTATCCTGACACGGCTATCTAGTTGCAAATCCAGATATCAAGTTGAACTTCAAGTTTACAATGTGTCAATCTTCAACTAGCTCCTCTTCCACTATTTCCCATTTCTGCAATGGCATTATGATCTCCCCAGTCAGCGAGGCTTGACCCTCAGAAATCTCTCTTGTCTCACATCGTTGCAGGTCTAAGCCCTGTAGGAGCCACTCCCTAATTTCCTTCACAGTCTTTCCTACCATCCACAGCCACCACCAATTCTCCATCACAGACTTCATAGCCCCTCACCTGGATTACTGCGATGACCTCTTGCTTTCCTGTCCCATCTCAATCACTCTCTCATTCTATCCATCCCATTTCCATATCTTGCCAGGTTAATTTTTTTGAAAGCTCAGCCCTGATCATGTCATATGACTCCTTAAAAACTGCCAGTGTTTTCCTGTCACTACCAAGGTAAATACAAAGCTTGACTCATGTTCAAGCCTCACCCAATTTCATTTCTCATCTCCAGTATCCCTATAGCATCTTCTATGGATGACAACAGTAAACTGCTTCTATACCATTATTTCCCCCGACTCTTCCATCTCAAAGCTTTTCCATCTCCATGGAGCAGTTGATACTACCGTTCCCTTTTCCTGGGATGCCTCCACATTCAAGACAAGGGATGAAAGGAAGGATGATAGGAAAATTATTATAGGACTTTTCATAATCATTTTAGTTTGTTATAGGCAAACACTGGTATATAAGGAATGACATTTTGACTGCTTGGGGGAGGTATTTTTAAAACATCTTTTGTAGTGTATGTACAAAAATGAAGCTGCTGCTTATACTCAAGTGCTGGTCAACTTTCTGGTATTTTCTGCCTTTGTGAACCAAGACATTTCATGTATTTCCTACGCTTCCTTGGTGGAAAAAAAAAAACAAACCATAGTGTTCTAGAAAAGCATGAGAAAAAATAGCCTTTCCACCCAAACACAGGCTTTGTTACCAACCAGGCAGCTTGAGGTGTTGGGGACCCATCAAAGAGGAGGGTTGAGACTTTAGGTGGCAGGCCTGGGCAGAGAGTGGTGGGTGGGGCCCAAAGGCAGACTCTGCAGGGGCCTGGAATTTAACCTTGTGACCAGAGAAAGTGCTTGTGTTTGCATTTGCAACATGTGTTTATTGTAATCATTACAAAAGAATCCTGACTTTATGCCTGTGTTCTCTGCATGCTGTCCATAGACTATCTGTATCAGAATCAGCTGGAGAGCTTGTTTAAAGGCAGGTTACTGGGCCCCTGAGAATTCTATCAATCAGGACTGAGGCACTGGGACCCTGGCATTTCTGTTTCCAACAAGCCGCCCGCCTCTGAAACTTGGGAGCTCCTGTAGGCTGTGCTCTCCTCACAGGCAGAGACGCTATGGAGAGGTCTTGGGTCCAGGGCTGTTCGTCTACTTGTAACAAAACCACTGAAGCCCCCAGTTTCCACTTCCTACCCTTCCTGATAGCACATCTTCCCAGAACAATGACATATTTTTGTTCCCTACTAGTTACTGATTTTTAAACTCTTTTTTCTTTATTCTGTCTTCTATTTCTCCCACTTCCTACTCATTGAGACCATGGTTTTATTCAGTCAACCAGAGTCCTAAGTTTCCATTTTTAGGGAAATTTTGCAATTTGTCTCTCAAGTTGCTCTCCGAATCAGTCACAGTCTGGCCAAGATTGATCTCAGATGTACTCTACAACTCCAGTAATACTTTCCCTGTGAAATTTCAGAATTCTTTTTGCTCCAAATTTGAGATATACTTTCAGTCCTTTAATGTCCTCTGTGAAATGTGGTACCTTTATTTCAATAATTCCTTCCTTGGCTGAATGTGTAGACTTTCCTGTGTCTTCTTTCTTGGGAATAATAGAATCATGGAAGAACAGAACCAGTAGGCAGGTGACCGTAATTGTGTGTGGAACTACAGAAATATTTTTTTTTTTTGCAGAGCTCTTGTCTATATTAACAATTGGAGCCACTCCAAATCAGCATGTCAGCATCATTCTGGTGGACCAATCTCATGTGATCCTGTTAAAGAAACATCTGCTGGCCAAGCTGCCCTTCTGGCATACAGGCCAGGCAAGAGCGTTCCACATGCCCCCATAGGTATGAGTCTAGTCCAGGTTCGCTGTACCCCGTCCAGATGTCACTGCCAGCTCTGGCTGGCCCCAATCACCAGAGGTAAACTAAAAATTCAAGGAAGAAGTTCCAAATTCTAGGACCCTTTGAGTCAAGGCCCTGTTGGTCCAGCTCTAAGGGTGAGACTGCCAGTAGACCAACTATATATCAACACCACAACTTCCAGGTTGAGATCAGTTGGCTGTATCTAAAGACAGCTGAGGATGTTCATTTGTTTACCCTTTATGAGGTAGTGGTTGTTTTATATTATTTTGAAAGTTTTTACTTCTGATAATGAGAAAACTCCTATTCTAATACTAGGTACTATATGAATTATATCCCTTCTTCTCTCCCTCCCTTCCTCCCTCCCTTCCCTTCTTCCTCCCTTCCTCTTTTCCTTCCTTCCCTCCTTCTTTCCCTCCTTGTCCTGCCTGCCATGGTGAAATGCACAGCTGTACTATCTTGCCTGGCCTAACACAAACCATTACAAAGGGCCACAATTGAAGGCCCTGCTCACACACCCAAGTCCGAGCCCCAAAGTCACCAAAATCCTCTCTACAGGTATACAATATTTCTTTCAATCAAAATTCCACTGTTTTATTTGCTCAGTTAAATGCTGAGTGGACAATGAAATTGCTCAAGGACCAAATTATTTTCTGAGGAGTCAGGCCTCTTCTCATCTGAGTTCTTAACTGAGAAATAAAACAAAGGGTGACCGAAGGAGACATAAATATAATGATTGTTATTACCAGTAATAATAAAATCTGAGGCACGAATAGGGATTTGTAACTAAATTAGGCAGAGAGTCACAGCAGAGCCAATGACCAATTTCCTTCCAAGAGTAAAGTCGGTGAAGCTGAGGGGAACATGCCTGGTTTATTTTTTGTCAAGGTTGCCAATCTGGGTAATCGCCGTCCTCCTCATGCCCTTCTCACAGGCTGTGTGCAGGGCTACAAAGGGAGGGCCAAGAGTGATTAACCGGAAGCCATCCATTTGGAAGTAAACATAAATGAAAGAGTTATTTCTCCCGCAAAATTATTTTATGAACCAAATTGTTATTAGAAGTCCATAATTCTTTATCAAAATCAAAAGAGCTGTCAAAAAAAAATTTCTTATGAGTTTGCAAAAAAACACGTGGTGGCAAAATCTTACCTAAAATGATATGAGGTTACCTAAGACATTTACTTATCCCATCTAATTGAATATTTATATGCTTTGATACTAAAATATAAAAGTTTTGATTATGGGGTGTAGACACAGTTGGGTATGCTATTTTAAATGCAGTATGTGCACCACGTTACTGTTCTGAAATGTATACAATTCTGAGTCATGAAACGTAATGATGGAGTAGCATATGCATAGAATCATAGGTAAGAATGAAAAGGAGAAGGAGGAAAGAGAACATACATTCCTTCTTTATCCCCCATCAATCCTGAGAGGTAGATATTCTTCCCATTTAACAGTCAGAGAATGGTGGTCCAGGAAAGATGGACAAACTGAGGCCCAATAAAAGGCCAGGGTTAGGACTCAGGCCAAGGACTCAGTCAGTTTGGCTAACTTCCCTCCTTCCTGACCATGACCCCAGAAGTGTGTTGGTCAATGCCATCATGTTAGGATGAGGAAATTGGAGAGCAAAGAGTAGAGTATCTTGCCCTGGGACTAGAATCCTGGTGTGTTTCTGGCTACAATTTGCCTCCTCTGAAAATAAAATTTCATACCAATTCCTCCCCTTCCCCATGATACAAAAACAATGACTGAACAGAATGAAGGATTTCTAGATCCTTGCTTTCATGTATAGATTTCCTTTATAAAAATGCATTTAATGTGTGATTGTTCATTTGCATGTCCATTTTCCGACAATATTGGTCCTTAAAGCAGAGGACCAGGTCTTTCTTTTTTGTACCCCTCAGAGCTGAGCACAATTCTCAGCATGTAACAGGTGGTCCATCAGTAAACAGAACGAATAAATGAATGAATGAAAAGTTTGAGGTCTCTGTGTCTGCAGCGTTAATCCAGGCTGCCTGGGGTAACTCCTATCTCACCTCCACATTTTCCTGATCCTCCAGACCTTAGGGTACCCCCTACCCACAGACTCCCACCTACAGAACAGCAGGTACATTGCAACACAAACCCACCAAGGGACAAACATCAGAGAGGATATGAGAACCTGTTCCTATAAAGCATAGGTGGGTCTTACTGGAGTTCTCTGTTTATCAGGCCTCTCTAGGATCTTTACCTTTAGAAACAACTTAGAAAGCAAGAGAGAAAGAGAAGGTGGTAAAGAAAACAGGAGTCTTTAATTCTGGGTCAACTTTCACTTCTTGACACGCAGCAAGGTCTATTAGAAAATGCTACCACAGCAGGAGTTATTGTTTCCTAGGGTATCAGAGAAGAGAGAAACTGATTTAAAGCTGTATATAAGTACATAACATTTTATGTCAATTTTTTGAAATTAAAGTTTAAAAAAGTCAGGTGTTAATGGAACCCAGAGAGCAGGAGAACATTTTCCCTTATTTTTATTTTTTAGAAGGAATCTCGCTCTGTCACACAGGCTGGAGTGCAGTGATGTGATCTCGGCTCACTGCAACCTCTGACTCCTGGGTTCAAGCGATTCTCCTGCCTCAGCCTCCCAAGTAGCTGGGATTACACGTGTGTGCCACCACACCCAGCTAATTTTTGTATTTTTAGTAGAGACGAGGTTTCACCATGATGTCCAGGCTGGTCTTGAACTCCTGACCTCAGGTGATCCGCCTGCCTCGGCCTCCCAAAGTGCTGGGATTATAGACGTGAGCCACTACGCCTGACCAGGACTCGATTTCTTTAAGCTCCTTGTGTTCTCTGTGGCTGATCCATCACCTCTGTGGCATAAGTAAATGTGGGGAAGACTGCTACTTCTTCTAGCTGGTCAGAACCTTTATGGAGACATAGATTAAAAAAAAAAAAAAAACCTTTCCTGCAAGGCTGGATAGCCAGTTATTTTAATGATCTGAAATCACCTAAGATTAAAGTACTTTGAATTTGATTTTGATACATAGTGTTCTATAGAAAGCACAAGCAAAAATAAATAATTCATGAATTACGTAGTACATGTATGATTTACTTACAGCTCAGAACTCATGCTAACTCAGAGAACATCAAACACCCTACACCCTGGCCTGCCATTTAAAGCAGCATTTAGGGGGATGAAGGATAAGACAGAACACAGGAGATGCACTGTAACTTTATATATGGCAATAAAAAACTTACATATTTGCTGGGAAATAAATTGAACAATGATGAACATAAAAGGTGGCTTTGAGAAAACTAGAAGTATCAAGAGATTGACTCCTGATGCCATGAAATAAATCATAATTGAGCCTTTAACAACATGGGGATTCGGGGCACTGACCCCCTGAGCCCTTGAAAATCCACAGATAACTTGACTCCCCCAAAACTTGACTACTAATAGCCTACTGTTGACGGGAAGTCTTACTGATAACATAAACAACACACATTTTGTATGCTATAAGTAGTATATACTGAATTCTTACAATAAGATAAGCAAGAGAAAGAAAATATTATTTAAAAAATCAGAAAAAGGGAATATATTTACTATTTATTAAATGGAAGAAATCATCAGAAAGATCTTCATCCTTGTCTTCATGTTGAGCAGGCTAAGGAGGAGGAGGAGGAGGAGGAAGGAGTTGGTCTTGTTCCAGGAGTGGCAGAGGTGGCAGAAAATCTGCGTCTAAGTGGTCCCACACATTCAAACCCAAGTTGTTCCCGGGTCCACTGTATGTCTGTTATGTTACAGCCTTCTCGCTAGGCTTTTTCCTAATTAATTCTTCATAATATCTTGTGATTTTTTTCAGTCTTTTCTGAATATTCCTGTTTCCTAATAAAATTTTAACTATTAAAAAAAACCCCTAAAATCCCTACAATGATCAGGAGAGGAACATAATTTTGTAAGTTTCCAGTGTATTTACTAGATCATTGTTTTGCAAACATTTTGTTAAATAGCACAAATCTGTCTCCCCCTCACCAGCCATTGTCCCCCTCCTTTAGCCCACAGAGCCTCGGCTGGGAGGCTGTTTCAGGCATGACTCCTTCCTGCTGCTGTGTTACATTAATTGAGTTACCCTATGGGTGATCAAACAGTTGTAGAGGTGTAGGGGTGACATAGTATCTGCCTTGGTTAAACTGTATTTTCCTCACAAAAAAGTGATTATATCAATTAAATAGAGAAAAATAATGAAAAATTACCTTTAAATCCTTTATTAGTTTTATAAAATGCAATCCTTTGCACTCTGGGGACATCAAGGCTAACGAGCACCTTCCACCTGGCCCTAGCCCAGGGGAAAGTGCATGTGTCCTGAACCAGGGCAGGGATCAGATCCTTCATTAGTTATATATCCTCCATTAGTTTATTAGTATATTAGTTTAAATCCTTCATTAGTTTTATAAAATGCAATCCTCTGCACTCTAGGGACATCAAGGCAAATGAGCACCTTCCACCTGGCCCTAGCCCAGGGGAAAGTGCATGTGTCCTGAGCCCGGGCAGGAATCAGATGGGAGGCCTTGGCCACCTGAGGCTGGAATTGACCCTACAATTTCAGTTGAGGTGAATCCTCAATGACGAACAAGCTTGTAGTGAAAAGAGGTTCATTCCCACTAAGTTCTGCCTTTTCCATGAAGCCACCTCAGTTGTAAACACCATCTCACTAATGTCTTTGTCTTTGTTAAAGATAAACATCAACAGTAACACCTCATTCTGAGGGGGAATTGTCATGCATATAATGCCCTCCCTCCACCTCTGTATGGATGGAAATAATCACTCTTCCTGGAAAACCAGTCCTTAACAGAGGTTTTATCTCTTTCCTTCTCTTCAAATGTAACTAATTCTTGTGTGAAACTTCTAGTCAGTTTTGGCCTGCTATAACAAATTACTATGGACTGGGTGGCTTATACTCAATTTATTTCTCACAGTTTTGGAAGCTGGAAGTTCAAGATCAAAGTTCTGGCAGATGTGGGGTCTGATGAGGGTTCTCTTCCTGATTTGCAGATGGCCACCTTCTTGCTGTATCCTCACATGATGGAGACAGAGGTCATTTCTCTCATGTTGCTTATTGAGCACTGATCCCATTCATGAGGGATCCACGCTCATGATCTAATTATGTTCCAAAGGCTCTACCTCCAGATACCATCTCACTGGCGATTAGGGCTTCAATGTATGAATTTGGCGGGGGAGGGGGAAAACATTCAGTCCATAGCAGAATTTATTCCTAAGTTAAAAAAAAAATCAACCCCAGAAATTCTGAAAAGATGAAAGATACTCAGTAGGCTAAGACCATAGAGGTCTGTGAGATCAGGGCTGCCAGCTGTGGTGCAGCATTTGATAACACCAAAAATTAACTATCACACCTGCTGCATGACTAGCCATTGTTGCTCCAGTGACTCAATCATTCTAAGGCTTTGCAAGAGGCATGTTAACCTATGTAGGCAATCAGAGTGGCACTTAGGATGGCACATAAAGGAGACCTCCATCATATTAAATTGCCATATTCAAGCCTGTCTTTAAGGCATGATATCCACACAAAGCAGGTGTGATAGCCAACGTGGCAGGTACCAGGCTGCAGAACTCTTGATAAGATCATAAGACAAACTGACTCCATCGACCATAAAATAAATGGTTCTTTCCCCCGCTTCCCCTCCCTTGAGTTTTTGAGTTAGTCTATGTGATATTATTAGCATCTGTCTTACTCGCTCTTTTAAAACAAATACGACAGTCAGTTACTTTAGGAGAAAGAATAAGTCTTGCCAAACAGAGAGGAAAACTGGGCTCTCTGGAATGTGCAGGCCCCAATGGAATATGAAAAAGTGAAGTAGACCCCCAGTCATTGAAGGAATGCACATAGAGCTCCTCAAAGGGAAATCCTGCCACCCACTCTGTGTGGCATGGGCATTTGGGCATTTTGTATAGCATGAACATCTCCCACAGCCACACACACTACCATGCCAAGCCCAAGCAGCAACCTAGATTATGAGGCTTTTAGGGAGCTTGAACACACAAACAGATGACGTTCACCAATGGTCATGAACAGACTGGATGTTGTGCACCAGTTGTTTTGTGAGTTGGTTCATCTAAAACAGTAGCGTCAGTGGGGTAGGGTCTCCCTGAGATCAGCCCTCAGCATTTGCCACTACAGGGGTTGGAAGAGGGGTACAGGGATGGGAGGCTTGTCATGAAATCTGCTTTAGCTAAGATAAGACCCTCATCCAAGCCTCTCTCTCTGGAGCAAACTACCAGGATCAGGATCAGTCTCCTGCCATGACCTGAAGCGACCAGGGGGCAACTCACCTAAAACGGGACTGAGCCTACAGCGGAGCAGCCTGTGTGGTAGCTGAGAGTGGGTCAGAGAGAACCAGCTAACCAAGGTGTTTATTTCAAAATGCTGAAGTCCTCTGGTCTGCATGACAAGCACAGTACAGTGGACCGAGGGGATTCGGCATGGGCTGAAAGTGATCAGATGTGAGCTTGTACACAATGGCAAATAGGTTTTAATGGATACATTAAGCACCTCTGGCTCATAGATGCTCTCTTGGGGACGATCTGGAGGCTGTATCTGAGCCCAACAGGAAAGAGGACCATGATTAGTGGTCCTACGATTAGTGGGAATATCTTCCATGGACCAGGGATGGAAGTGTGGTGGCACATGTACCCTATACATACCATCTCTGAGCTACATACTGACATTAAAAGCTCTGTGTCTGGAAAAGTAAGTTGGAATCTAATCATGGAAAGCTTTAAATGTTAGACTGAAGAATTTGGCCTTTATTTTGTGGAATTTTGTGGTTTGTCTGGTCAGAACACTAGCTATAAAAATAAAGACAGGAAATGCCTTCAGCAGGATTCACACTCTGCACCTGCCGGAGGAGCTATGCAGCACCCTAGTGTCTTACGCTCAGTCGTGTCTCACATTTAAATCACCTGACGGTCTTCCAGTTTGCAAGCCTGCTGCAGGTATTAGAAAAACACTGATGAACTGAGTGTTGGAAAATGACATTATCAGAAGGTATTCTAGGCAGGGATGTGAAAGTTGGATTGAAGAAAGGAGAAAAAAGGGTAGAAGCTGCAATACTAGTTAAGAAGCATTGAAAATCTCCATTTAAGAGTCATACATACCTTGACTAGAACTGTGAAAATAGAAAAGAGGGAAAGAGCTAAGAGATGTTGCAGAAGTGAGCCATATTAGTTTAGCTTGGGTGTAGGGGAGAGAGAAGAGAGACTTCAAAAGTGATGTCAAAGTTTTAAACCTAAGGGACTGGGGAAAGACTGCTGGTCCTATGAACAGAAATAGGGAATTCAAATAAATGAACAAATTTAGACTGGCCTGTGGGGAGGTGGGGAGGAAGGAGATGAGTGGATGCATTTTAGAACCCAGTTATTTTTTGATGATGCCACTGTTACAGACAAACCCACTCACACACAGCCTTTCCCAGACAAAAGACATTGTGTCTTGTCCTATCTTTCCCAGACATCCAAGGGAGGACATCCAATTAGGACAGCTGGCTGGGTTAAAGGTTCAGTCTGTGGCCATGGACTAAAGCCAAATTAACTGGGATGGAATCTGTGCCCTTGACCAAAAGAGCAAAGGACTAACTGGTAATCAGTTTCGGCCATTTCTGCTGTAACATCTAATCAGATATTGGCTTCCTGTCCTCAGCCTTCTTGCCAGCTGGATGGTCACCTTGCCTTACTGCCTGTCCCAGCTATGGGTAGATGTCACACTGAACGTGTTCATCTTTCAGCTGTCTTCTCATCTCTCTCAGTCAAGGGTGAGAATGGATCAGGGAGTGGGAGAGTTTGGCTAGGTCAACAGAGAAGCGTGTGTAATGCCATGCCGGATGCCTGGTAGTGGTGCACTCTGCCTGTCCATCCAGTTTCTGAGTCCTGCTTTATGATGCCAGACTGGAGTTTGCAAATAGTAGTTCCTGCATATCCTCCACCTAATATTTTCTTGTAGATGCTTGATGCCAAGACCCTGTCTCACCTGTTGAGTCCTGGTTCTGTTATCATCAGTTAGCTTAGTAGCTTGATACAAACTTTATTATTTTTCATGATTCCATGGGTTGACTGGGCTCAGATGGATGTCTCACAGGACTCTTATGCAGCTGTGGATGGGTCTGGAACATCCAAGATGCTTCATTCCTATATCTGGCCCTTGGCAAAGAGAGCTGGAAGCTGTGCTCAGCTGGGCTGCTGATGACTGAGTCTCTTGCTCTCACTATGTAGTCTCATGGCCTCTCCTCTTCCATATGGCCTCCTCACAGGGTCTCCCTAGCAGGGTAGCTGAACATCTTACACGGCACCCAGGGATCTCCAAAGCACAAAAGCAGAAACTGTCATGGCTTCTGATGACTTAGGCCCCAGACAGGCACATCTCCGCCAATTCTGTGTTGTTCTGTTGGTTAAGTGGATCATAGAACCAGCCTCGATCGGGAGTTAGGAAAAGACTACGTAACCATGTGGATTTGGGGAGGCTCAATTCATTGCAGACACCAAATGTGTTACTACCTCACGCAGAATATAATCCTTTCAGGGATTCTGTGAACTGCACCCCACACCCTCTGACCTCAACTCCACCTTCCCTTCCTCCCTCCCCTCTCTCTGGCAATACTGACTTCTGCTTTCCTTTTGTGGGCTGGAAGAAGGCATTCAGGGAGGTGGTGCTGGGAACCTGAGTATTCCCCGACACATAGGAATCATTTAGGAAGACTAGTAATGTTAAGGGAATCTAAGAGAGGGAAGAATGTTTAAGAACACTGAGGATGTGGAAAACTTCCTGTTGTAGTTCTAATCCTGTTAGGGTTAGAACATAGAGTAACTACTGGGGTATTGTGTAAGGTCAGGCAAAACAGACAAGGAGGGGCCAGGTCATGAAGAAAATTACATTCCAACCTAAGGAATTTCAGTTTGGTTTCCTAGACATTGAAGGGTTATAAACAGGGAAAACTTGATCAGATTTGCATTTTAGAAAGAACACTCTGGCAGTTTGGGAAATACACTAGAAAGTGAAGAGATTAAGAAGGAGGTAGACCAGTTAGGACCAAACATTAAGCAAGACATGGTGAAGGTCTTAGCTCAGCATGCCCCACACCCCTAGGGTGTGTGAGTCTATGGGCAAATTTGGAGTCTGGTGGGGGAGGCATGTCTGTATAATCAATTTGATTTGAAATGTATTATAAAATTTATGAACCTATGAAAGGTGATTAACTGATAAAGATTTAGAAAATGGGTAGAGGGTACACATAGCCATTTTCTATCCAATCAGTGCATTGAAAAATTCTTCGTAATGTCCAGGCCCCATCAGCTCCTGTTCAGGTCTCGGAACTATCTCCTCATACTCTTTATTGTTAAATATGCTGTTCCTGGCTAATTTATATCTCCCACTGAAAGAAAAAAGTAGCACTGTAGTTATTACTCACAATGGCATGGTTCTTTGCAAGCTATTTGTATAGAAACAATGTAGATCTTTTTCCTCTTCCAGTTTCCTAGTACCAGTTATTTTGTGCTGGTTACATTCTTACTCATGACATGACATCATCCATCATGTTGACTGTGAATGCTGATTTCCAGTGACTCTCTCAGAGGTTGTTATGGTGCTTCCTTGATGATGACCACAAATGCGCCTGTTACCCAGGGCGTGCAGGAAAATGTGAGCAATAATCTGATTTTCTGCTCACGTTAAATTTATTGTTCAGACTTTTATACCACAAATGTAAATTAACACATATTCCAATCATGTTTTCTTTTGAACTCTTGAGGCCATAATCATTGCATTCCTAGAATGTCATCTCTTTTAATTTTGGACACACTTCTGCCTCCCACACTGCTTTCTGTAGGGAAGAGAGGAAAGGAACCTCTAGGCTTGGCAGGAAAAGTACAATCCCATTCATCCAAGGAATATCTATCATCTGTCAGACCTTAAGACCAACCTGGGAGAGCACAGCATCACCATATCCATCAATCAGAGGCAACACTGTGCAGCAACAGCCTCAGAAGCTCTCAGAAGAAACAGACCTGGGGTCACCCCAGAGGACTTCCTGACATGTGTTATCCTAGCCTGTAAAAGGTGTGGTGGGACTGGTAGTAAAAGATTCTGTTAACACTCTCCTTACCCTTGGGTGCTAGAGACCAGAGATAGGATTGCAAGGTAACAAGTGCCAATGCACAGGCCCATGTATGTCACACAGGCCAGTAGGAGCAATCTGCTTCCCTCCTGGAACAGGGGCCCAGCCACAGGACCCCAGAACAACCCCACAGAAGCATGGTTCAGAGTTCCTTGGGGCAACTGGTTGACCACATATGTCAGGTAGAGTTTCAGGGAACGCTCTGAAGAAGCGAAAAAAGGACCAGGAACCATGTGGGCTGGAGTGGCCTGTCTGGATGCTACTGAAAGACCAGCCAGTCCCAGACACTGGAGAGAACTTAGAAAATGTCGAGGAGTGGGCCAAATGTAGGGGCTCATGCCTGTAATCCCAGCACTTTGGGAGGTTGAGGCAGGGGGGTCACTTGAGCTCAGGAGTTTGAGACCAGCCCAGGCAACCTAGTGAGACCTTGTCTCTACAAGAAATCAAAAATTAGCGGGGCATGATGGCACGTGCTGTAGTCCCAGCTACCTGAGAGGCTGGGGCAGAAGGATCACTTGAGCCCAGGAGGTGTGGCTGCAGTGGGCTATAATTGTACCACTCCACTCCAGCCTGGGTGACAGAGTAAGACCTTATCTCAAAAAAAAACAAAAAAAAAAGAAAGAAAGAAAATGTTGAGGAAAGCACTCTGAAACACAAGGCTCCCTTTGCTTCAGGCCTTAGATAGGCGCCCTACTTGCCCCAGTCTAAGAGTGGTACTAGCAGTTTGAAGGAGCAGTGAGTTCAAAAGCCGCAGGTTCATTTGAGAGACTCTGTGAAGATGTTTAGGGAAATAATCCATAATAAAGATGTCCAACCTCTCTCTCTCTCTGACTTAAATATATTTTAAAAATATATCTTACTGTAAACACCAATATTAAAGCAGATACTAGCACAGGTGTTGTGGTTGAAGTGGAAGATAAGAGTTCAGAGCCTAGCTGATGGCCTGAGTTCAGTACCACAGCACACCTCTGTCTCCATGAAATCCCAGGAAAACCTTAGGGACCCATAGAACACAGCCTGAAGCTATGCATCTAAAGAATGTGCACACAGGCTAGAGGCAAAAATGAAGGCTAAATTATCATTCATGCAAATATTAATATTGCAGATATCCACTAATATTTCCCATATGGTATAGTGTAACCTGCTTTGAAAGTTTGTTGGCCAGGTGCAGTGGCTCATGCCTGTAATCCCAGCATTTTGGGAGGCTGAGGCAGGCAGATCACTTGAGGCCAGGAGTTTGAGACCAGCCTGGCCAACATGGTGAAACCCCTCAATTCTACTAAAAGTACAAAAATTAGCCGGTGTGGTTGTGGGCCACTGCACTCCATCCTGGGTGATAGAGTGAGACTCCGTCTAAAAAAAATAAAGTTTGTTGTTTGTTGAAGAACTTAGACCACTTTCTTGAACTTTTTCAGTTTTTTTCCTCAAAAATCCAATACAAATTTTTATTAATTATTTGTAGTTCTCCCCTGTTACCCACTACTCTCTGTAAGACCATAATGAAATTTTAGAAAAGGAAGTTTCTGTTATTTACAATTTATAATGATTCAGAAAATAAGTTATAAAGAAAGAAAAAGAAAGAAAGGAAATAATAATAGAAAAAAAATTGGCCCACCCAAATCCTTACAGTCCAAGATGAACTGGAACAAGACACATTAGTGAGTGTCTCATACCTGTGCTTGGTTCTGTGTTGAGTATCCCTGCAATTCCATTTAAGACTTGCTAGGAAAATATTTATTTCTACTGGAAAATCACATAATGTTTTTTAAAGAAATCCTGTTACTAAATGGCTCCAGGAGAGTTTTGCTGATTTCTAGAGAAGAACAGTCATGCTCTTTGTCTTGAACTGAAAGGCTGACAGCAAAGGAGGCCAACCTCGGGTGCCCTCGCCGCCAGACATAAAAGGGCTGCTTTGAAATTCTTGCCAACTGGTTGACAGTATTTTCATTATTTCTGTGAAGCCTGACACAGATCTTTTAATGAAGCTGCAGTTGTGTCTCACTGGCAGGATAAATTAGCTGAAATTGTGCATATTCTACCTGTCCTGAGGTTCCCAGGGGCTAAAGGCTGATGACCTACAGAGGTGAATTCGCTGAAGAAGTAAGAAGGAAACTCATACAAGTTTTAATAATAGCAGCTCAACCCCGACCCCTGAAGAAAATGCACAACAATTGAGAGGGGTCTCTATTTCAGCTGGAAACTGAGGGGAGGGAGAAGAGACGGGAGAGCAAGAGTCAGAACAGGGGTGGGGTCTGTTCCCACTGGGGGATGGAGTAAGTTCATGACAGGGGAAATATCTTTCCATCTCTTTTCTCCTTGAGTGCTGTCAGAGTGACCCCCTGATGTTTCTAGCCCCACATCTTACCAATCATTGAGAAGGTGCCACTTTGGGAGGATCGTCAGACTTGCTCCTATTGTCCTCCTTCCACTTCCACCACCTGCAAGGCCCCTCATGTCGGGAGGTACACATTGTCAGCCCACTCATGCCCATCCATCAGGGCACAGCTCATTTGTCACCTCCTCTGCGGACTCCTTGTTCCTTTATTCTGAATTAAGCTATGTTACTACCATGTGCTTTAAACCTTGTCTTTACGCTAATGCCTTGCACTTTATTGCATTATCTTTCAATAGGCTGATCCTTGCAGGCACGAATACTGTCTCGTCTACAGTTGATTATCTGACAGCATCAGCACAGTATTGACTTTTCTGGATTTTTTGAAACTTGGATGTTAGTTGAGAATTCTACATGCTTGATGGAAATAAAAACAAATAACCATTGTGTTTATTGGTCATCTTAATGAGCTCTTTTGTGAAGTATATGTCTGTCTTTTGTCTACTTTTCTATTGAGTCACCTGGCTTTTTCTTATTGACTTGTAGCTTTCTTTAGAGATTGTGGCTAAGACATCTTTGTTGGTTGTGAGTGTTGCAAATATCTTTTCCTTTTTTTTTTTTTTTTTTTTTTTAAGACAGGATCTTGCTCTGTTGCCTAGGCTAGAGTGCAGTGGCATGATCTTGGCTCATTGCAGCCTCTGCCACCTGGGTTCAAGCAATTCTCATGCCTCAGCCTCCTGTGTAGCTGGGATCACAGGCATGTACCACCCATGCATGGCCAATTTTTTTTTTTTTTTTTTTTTTTTAGTAGAGATAGGATTTCATCATGTTGACAAGGCTAGTCTTGAACTCCTGGCCTCAAGTGATTTGCCCACCTCAGCCTCCCAAAGTGCTGGGAATACAGGCATGAGTCACCGCTGCTGGCCACAGATATCTTTTCCTATTCTGTGGCTTCCCTTTTCATTCTCTTAATGATATCTTTTGGTGAAAACAAGCTCTTAATTTTATAAAGTCCAACTTATTTTATTTATGGCTTATGTTCTTTGTGTCCTAAGAAATCTTTGCCTAGCTCCAAATCATAAAGTTGTTCTCCTAAATTTTCTTCTAGAATTATTTTCCCTTTCACATTTAGATAATCAATTCATCATGTGAGAAAAAGTGATTTTTTTTGAGACAGCTGTGTAAATATTTACAGATCTCAAAGTTACCATCATCCAGCCTCGTTTTACAAATCTATAACAATCCCTTGTGTAACCTCTTAACACTTGCCTCTAATATCTTAAAAGAGAATACTAGTCAAGAAAGTTGGCCAGACATGGTGGCTCATGCCTGTAACCTCAGCACTTTGGGAGACTGAGGCAGGTGGATTGCTTGAGGCTAGGAGTTCAAGACCAGCCTAGGCAACGTGGAGAGACCCTGTCTCTACAAAAATAAAAAATTAGTCGGGCATGGTGGTACATCTGTAGTCCTAGCTACTCGGGAGGCTGAGGCGCAAAGATCACTTGAGCCCGGGAGGTTGAGGCTGCACCAGTGAGCTGTGTTTGCTTCACATTACTCATGTGTTTGCCTGGGTGAGAGATATAATTTTCTACACTGTACTAACTTCCCTGGAGGCCTTTTGAACAAAGAGCTAGACTAAAAAAGACAGAAAAGCAGTCTAGTCAAAAAACAAAACAAAAAAAACTTTGGTATTAAACAACAGCAGGTTTAAATCCCAGTTCTATTTTTCAGTTTTTTGTGACCTAGGACAAGGCATATACTGGCTTTCAGCCTTGGTTTCTGCTCTGGAAAGTGGTCATAATGGTAGCTGAGATGTTTTACTGTTTGCCATGTGCCAGACTCTATGCCAATCCTGCACAATCTCATTTAAATCTCGGAACCACTCTGTTACATATGAATAGTTAATATATCTTCTTTATAGATGATAAACAGAGAGGAGCCATACAGTTACCCAATGGTGCATCCAGGATTTAAGTTTGGGCAGGCTGATCCCAGGGCTTACATATGTAGACACTGTCCTTACTTCTTTCCTATTAAAATTCAAAAGCCCTAAGGTGGCAGTAAAGTGAGATAAGCCGGGAAAAGTGCTTAGCCCAGTGCATGGGCCCTGTTAAGTGCTTAATAAATACTAAAGTTTGTGAGTGTAGCAACAAATAACTAATCCATATTGTCCCCATCCCCAGGCACTTTGGAAGAGCTAGAATCCATAGCCACTTCAGGAAATGACATAGGAAATCTTTCAAGGTACAGGTAAGAAAATCATGAAAGTTGCATGCTAATGTGATTGGGGTTGGAAATACTTACTGATTACCCAACCAATATTATAATCTTCATTAATTAATTAATTCTCCTTACTCTCACTCTATTCTTCCCTTCCTTTCTTCCTCCCCTCTTTCATCAAGGAAATACTTATTGAGTGCTTACTATGTGCTAGGTCTGTTCTAGGAGCTGGTAACACAGCAGTGAAAACAACAGTCAACTTCTCCACCCAAACCAAATTTCACTATGGGTTCATTGTCTGGTCTATACAATAAACAAATAAATCAGTAAGTACGTAATATTTAATAAGTGCTATGAAGGTAAATAATGCAGGTTAAAAGAGTAGCGGGTGAGGAAGCAGGGGAAAAAAGGATTCGTTTATGGATGGAGAGGTCAGGGAAGCCCACTTTGTGGGGGTGACATTTGATTAGACATCAGAAGAGGTGAGGAAGATGTCGTGAGGATATCTGGTGATAAGGAGAGGACAGTAGTTTCAGAGGCCTGGAGTGGGGGTGTATTGGAAATATTCAAGTAACTGCAAGGAGTCCAGTTCAACTGGAAAAGAGTGAGCTTAGAAGAAAATGAGACCAGAGAAATGTGAGGGGTCAGATTGTGGAAGGCCTCAGGGCCCTTGGCAAGGTAGGGTTTTAGTGAGAAGCAGTTTTGCACAGTGGTTAAGAACATAGTTTCCACCAGTGAGTTCTATAAGTTCAAATACTAGCTTTAATATTTACATAAATTTGAGCCTTGTGTTGTGCCTATTTGTGCCTTAGTTTCTTCATCTGTAAAATGGGATTAATAATATCAAATTAGACTTGAGAAAATTCTGGCAATTTCTTGGCATCCAGGTAAAGAGCTGAAATTAAAGCATCTCTTGCTTGAACTTGTAATTCACGGAAGGTATTAAACCTTTACTTACACCAATACCAAAAATAGATTTTGTATTAATAACATAGAGGTGGCTTTTCAGACTACTATCACAAGTTTTTGTTTTTTGGGGGGTTTTGAGACAGGGTCTTGCCGTGTTGCCTAGGCTGGTCTTGAACTTCTGGGCTCACGTGATCCGCCTGCCTTGGCCTCCCAGAGTGCTGGGATTACAGGCGTGAGCCATTGCATCTGGCCAGCTATCATAAGATAATTGAACAAAAGAATATCCTTGGCTAATTATTGGTCAAATTTCAATTAGCAAATGACTGCATATTACCAGTGAGTTTTCAAAGGGACTTGAGAATAGGTCTGGATCAGATCAGATATCAAAATAAACTTTCTCCCAGACAGATTCAGAGCATTTCATCAAGATGATTCAAGTAACATGAATGAAGACAAATCGGGGCCAAAAGGATGTAGCCTGCAAAGTATGACAGGGCTTGATGGAATAACATCAATATTGGTGTTTTAATATGCAATATAATTAGATTTCAGATCTAGACTCTTCTGAAAATAATGCAGACAGAGAAGTGCCTCAGGTCAGGATTTTAATTCAGAGAGTAAGATAAGAATAAATATCTTGTGGTAGTGCTCTTTTTTGTTGAAGGGTAGACTTTACTACAGAGTACATGTTGAGGTCTGATATATTTGGCAGTGCCACCATCTTCAATGTCTCTGATTTGCTTCCCAAAGTAGAGAAGGGAACACAAGTGAAAAGGAAGTTGGGATTTATTTGGATCCCAGGTTTCCAAAGACAGCATTTACACCTCTTACTGCCTCAGTTAGCCATAGCTCAAAGCTAGAGAGATTTTTGTTTCTCCTCCAAGGTAGCAAGGAAGCAAATAACTTCAGTGGTATCTTTTGTGCTACATTCTGAGATAGACGATGATTGTGATTATAGGAAGTCTTGTTCCATTTTAATTTATTCAACCATCACTTCATAAAGCATCCCCTAGGTTGGCCATAAGCAGCTCAGAGTTCCACATTCCTGCTACCTTTGCTCTTCCCTCAAGAACACCATCAAGGGCAAGAAGGGTCACTGAACCCTTCTTGGGGTTTACAGTCTTAGTGGAAAACATTAAACCAGTCAGTTCGTGCAAAAATGTTCTGCTGACACTGACTCTTTGGGCACTTTTTATCCTAAGAGATCAGAGAAGATGGGCCTGGATGTTAAGCCTATTGAACAATGGGTCAAAGATAAAAAACAGAGATGCAGTTGACTAGATTTTAGCAGCTCCTCGTGCTCCCTCCACTTCCTCTCATTTCACTCCCAACGGGGAAGGGTGTGGCCATGCTGTAGGCTTCAGGATGCCTTTTCTTTTGCAGGGCCAGAGCCTGAGACAAAAGCCTAAGAGCTCAGCCTCGTCTAGGCAAAATACGTTCACCAAGTTGCATGTGGTCTACTCCAGTTCACAAGACTCTACACTGGGGCTTGAGCCAGAGCCCAGCTAAATAGAACGTGCCTCTTTGCCCACCATCCTTTTCTGTGTATATCGTTTACTGCAGGACAGATGGAATTCAAGTGTGCAGGATCCCTTAGCCATAAATCCCTCCAGCTCCCTATATTCCTACCAGATGGCATAGAGTTGGGGACTGAGAAGGCATATTCACTGGGGACCAGCATTTGGGCAGTAGAGGCCCTAAGAGAGTGAGGGAAGCTCTTGGAGGATTTGGTATTGGTAGTAAAAAGGACTCCTTTTGGGTACTAGCTTATCCAGAACTTAAAATGTTGGAGCAGCAAGGAGCTGTGAGTCCCATGGTAAGGTCATCAGTCAGCTCAGCCCAAAGGATCTGGAGGACCTGACGGCTGCTTCTCTGGAATCTGAGCCAAGGAAGGCAAGCCAGGAGGATGAGATCACAGTCACCTCATTAATGTACTATGTGTAACACAAGTGGGTGGCAAGAAGAGCTCTCGTTGCAGAGAACACTTTGTCTTAATGCTTAGTCAAACAAGGACAAGTACATTTCAAAATGTGTGACATTTTAGCAGGAGACAGGTACAGATTCATAATCCTTTCTCCACAATTATAAAATTTAAAAGGCTCTGAAAAACAGAAGCTCTTTTGCCAGTGTGGGAAAAAACCTCACATAGTGGCAAAAACCTTTTTGACCATTGGTTATGTCTCAGAGCCCCTACCCAGCACTATCATGTCTACTGTGTACATTTTTGTTATTTTGAAATTTGGGGTTAATTTCACTCTTTGAGAAGAGTTAAAGCTGCCCTTATAGGTAACAATGAAGAGAGGGAAAGGAAGAAAAGGAAGTGCCTGTTGAAATCAATAATATTATAAGTAAAGTTATTACAGAAGATAGATCCTGCTATCTGTCTTGAAAAATACAGTATCAGAATCAAAACAATATATGACTTAAAAAACAGAACGGCAAGTTGTAGAAGATTTCCTGTGCAACAATGACTAAGAACTAATGAAAAATAGGAAAACACTTTAAAGGGCAAAGAATGCAAATCATGATGATATGTTAATTAAGTGGATTTGACAATGAAGCGAACATATACTACTAGTTTGTTATGAAGCAAGCTACTATACACTGCAAAAATTGAACACTGAAAATAATGTGAATATTTAGAAGGCTGTGGTGGTGGGGGGCTGGTAAATCTGAAATCTGTAGGGCAATTCCATAGGTTGGAAATTCAGGCAGGGTTTCTATGTTACAGTCTTAAGGTAGAAATTCTTCCCCAAAACAATCTGTTTTTGCTATTAAGGCCCTCAACTAATTGTATGAGGTCCACCAACAATATCAAGGGTAATCTCCTTTACTTAAAGTCAACTGGTGGTATATCTTAACTGCATCTACAAAATACTTCACATCAACGTCTAGACTGGTATTTGTCCAAACAAATGGTCATGCCAATGATCGTGGTCATGGTCATGGTCTAGCCAATCTGACACACAAAAATTTAACCATCACAGCTGCCTACGGAATTTAAGAGCTTTAATGCTAATAGAGTAAAATAGAAAAAAAGACACAGAATTTAAGAGCATCATGGTGTAAAATGCCTTACAAATATGTAATAAAATCACTCCTGATGATGTTGAAACAAATTAAAGATATTTTTAAAATTATTAAATTATTAAAATTAAATAATTTTAATTATTTAAATAAATAAATTTATCAAATGTATTAAATAAATTTAGTATTTATGTAATAAATTATTAAATACTAACTTAAATTTATTGAATTAAATTTATTAATAAATAATAATTTGATTAATTTTAATAATTCAAATATTAATTATTTAATAATAATTTATTAATTATTTGATAATTCAAATAATAGTTCTTTTTTATTCAGAACTAACATATCTTAGAAACAGCCAAAATCTTGATAAACTTGTTAAAATACTGTCTGATGTAAACCTTAGTCCTGAACCTATTTATAATTTTGATATTAAATTTGATATTAAAGCTCTATATTGGTACTGTTTTCCCATGGTACTGACTCATGAGAAAGCTTCTATAGGTTTTAATAACACTAAACTCAGATGGACTGTGCTTGGCATGCAGCACTGTGTTTTGTTTTTTTTGAGACAGAGTCTCACTCTGTCACCCAGGCTGGAGTGCAGTGGCATGATCTCCGCTCACTGCAACCCCTGCCTCCCAGGTTCAAGTGATTCTCCTGCCTCAGCCTCCCAAGCAGCTGGGACTACAGGCACGTGCCACCACACCCAGCTAATTTTTGTATTTTTAGTTGAGATGGGGTTTCACCATGTTGGTCAGGCTGGTCTTGAACTCCTGACCTTGGGATCCACCCACCTTGGCCTCCCAAAGTGCTGGGATTACAGGCATGAGCCACTGTGCCTGGCCAGCACTGTGTTTTTAAAACAAGATAAAATTGACAGTACCTGAGGAAAGCCTACATCCAAGAAATTTGAAAGGTATATGCAAATTACCTGTGCAAACAAGAAAGTATGAGTAATTAGAGAACTACTTTATGATGATTCAATGGCCACTTTGTACCAGCAATATGGGCTTATTACCAGCAAGCTGATGTAGAAGAAAAATGTAAAGTTCTATTACTTCTGGACCATGGCTTTACAAACCCTCCTCTTGAACTTCTTGCATAATGTTTTCAGTTTTTCTTTTCCTTGCAACATGACATCAGGAGTGTAGCCTTGGAGCCAAAGAGCTTTAGAGACTGAAAAGCAAGTCTGAGCACTTCTTTCCAAACTGTATGTTTGCTTCAGTGAACAGAAGCCAGGAATCTAAGACTTCCTTAAAGAGGTTATACTCAAGGATACCATTTACAGAGCTGCCAATGCTCAGAATGATATTATTAAGTCAACATCAACAAATGCTAGGAACAGAATTTTGCTACTCCAATGTTGGAAAATAAAACCACCAACACAAACTTAGAAATATGTGGGGCCATTGATGAAAAAACAATTATGTCTATCTTTATTATTACACTAAGTTTTTATTGGCTGAAGTTGTTAGAAGAAGCTGATAGTAAAGAAATACTGATCATTGGTAGTGATGCAGTTGTATATTTTCAGTGATGGGGAGATTGCTGAAATGTTGCAAATATAGTAAGTGTGAGGATTACAGAAGATAATGATGATGATATTATAAATATAGGTGAAAAAAACACCACAGATGATCTGGTGATGTTACTTAATGTGAGGTAGTTTATAGCTAGCCTGGAGTAATATGCTTTCAATGATGATGGAAAGATTGTTGACATTTACTCAAACAGAAATTGTTTAGACAAAAATCCATGTTAATAAAACGAATGACAGGAGAAAGTTTGGTTTTTATTTAATTTTATAAAAAAAATAATTTTTAATCCGTATCATTTCTTATGATCCTGTGAATCCCAGTCCAAAGGCAGGAGAAGACCGACGTTCCCGCTCCAGCATGCAGGCAGGAAGGGGACAAATCCCTTCCTCTGCTTTTGTTCTATCAAGCTTTCAACGGGTTGAATGAGGCCTCCCCATATTGACAAGGGCAATCTACTTTCCTGAGTCCACCAATTCAAATGCTAATCTCATCTGAAAACACTCTCACAGACACACCCAGAAGTAATGTTTAATCTGGGCACCCCGTAGCCTAGTCAGTTTGACCCATAAAATTAACCATTACAGGAGTTGAGGGCTTCAACATATGAATTTTGAGGGGATACAATTCAGTCCATATCATCCGCAGACTCCACTGCTGGTATTATGTAAAATATAATATATGAATGTATAACCTTTCTAAAAATCTCTAAAATTCTAAATTATGAATTATCCAGCCAAAACCATTTCTGACAAGAGATTGTTGACCTATACAAAATATCCTATAACCTCTTTCCTTAAAAGAGTTGAGAGTATAAGACTATTGATCTAGAAAATAATAAAATTTTAGAAAAATGGAAGAAAATAGTTCTATTGCTTGTTTCTCCCTTTAAACTCCTTTTATTCTAAGGAGAGTACGGGCTTTTAAGAACTTGATGAAAGGGGTCTAGAATATCTCAACCATGATTTCATTTCAGCCCTCAGCCTACTCTGTACTTTTGTGTGAAGCCATCCAGGTCCTCAGAGTCTCATTTACTAGTCAGGAACAAGGCAGGACTGTGACTCTTACCCCAGGAACGTGCTCTTCCAAATACAGCACTCCTATCTACTCTAGATCTGCCACTTGCTGGTAGAGTGGTGGGCAATCCTCATCTCCAAAATGATAATAATGGCAGTGCTAACCGCAAGGGTTATTGTGGGGATTTGATGTGATGATCCCTGTGAAGTGCTTAGAACAGTGCCTGCTGTGTGGTGGGCTCTCGATAAATGTCATTTATTACTATGAAAGGTTAGGAAGAGTAAAAATTACTTTGGTCTTTTCCATTAAGGTGAAATTGCCTCTGCAGATAACATGATCTTATATATGGAAAACCCTAAAGACTCCACCAAAAATCTATAAGAACTAATACATAAATTTAGTAAAGTTGCAGGACACAAAATCAACATAAAGAAATTAGCTGCATTTCTATACACTAACAGCCTATCTGAAAATGAAATCAAGAAAACAATCCCGTTTACAATAGCTTTAATTAAAAAAAAAAAAAAAAAAAAAAAAACTTAGTACTGGGTGGAGTGGGTCACACCTGTAATCTCAGCACTTTGGGAGGCTGAGGTAGGAGGATTGCTTGAGCCCAGGAGACCAGCCTGGGCAACATAGTGAGACCTTGTCTCTACAAAAATTTTAAAATTTGGCCAGGTGTGATGGTGTACACTTGTAGATACAGCTTCTTGGGGAGCTGAGGTGGGAGGATTGCTTGAGCCCAAGAAATTGAGGCTGCAGTGAGCTGTGATTGCACCACTTCATTCCAGCCTGGGCAACAGAGCAAGATCCTGTCTCAAAAAAATAAAAATAAAAATAAAAATATAAATAAACACTTAGGAATAAATTTAACTGACATGAAAGATCTGTACAGTTAAAATTATAAAACACTGATGAAAGAAATCGAAGACACCAATAATGGAAAGATACCCTATGTTTACAGATTGGAAGAATTGTTAAAATGTTTATACTATCTACATAAAGCAATCTACAGATTCAATGCAATCTCTATCAAAACTCCAGTGTTTTTTACAGAAATAGAAAAAATAATTCTAAAATTCATATGGGATCCTTAATGACCCTGAGTAGCCAAAGCAATATTGAGAGAAAAAAAAAAAAAAGCTGGAAGCATCATACTATTTGATATCAAAATACACTACAAAGCTATAGTAATCCAAATAGCATGGTATTGGCACAAATACAGACATGTAGACCAGTGAAACAGAGATCCCAGAAGTAAATCCATGTATTTACAGTCAACTGATCTTTAACAATGGTGCCAAGAATACACAATAGGGAAAGAAGAGTCTCTTCAATAAATAGTGCTGGAAAAACTGCATATCCACATGCAGAAGAATGAAATTAGATCCTTATCTCATACCATATACAAATATCAACTCCAAATGGATTAAAGACTTAAAGTAGATCTGGAAAAAGGAAACTCTCTAAACAAAAGTCCTCCTCCCTACCCCTCTTCCAGCTGCTTTGCATCTGTTTGTGGAGCTCCACTTTTGTCCCCTTAAAGGTAAATGAGCACTTTCCTCCTTCCATTTCCACTGCACAGGTAACTCTCAAAGGACTTCACACTCATTAACTCCAGCATGGAGAGCAAGGGACTAAAGAGCAACACTTTTCAGAGACAGTTTTTTAGAACATTTATTTTCTGATGATGATGGTCTTCCTCTGTTTTCCCAGAGTTGGATGCCTACCTAGAGAATCTCCAAAAAATGCAACAGTGTGCTTTGATGTTTGCCTACCATAGTTACCATTGTTAAATACTATTTATGGGTCCGGGCACTTCTAATCAAAAAGTGCCTGTAATCCCAGCACTTTTTGATTAGAATGTTAGAACTTTCAGCCCCATCCACCACTCCTATCACTATGCAAGGGAAAGGGGTTGGAAATTGAAGCTGGATGAGCACATTGGCTCACGCCTGTAATCCCAGCACTTTGGGAGGCTGAGGTGGGTGGCTCATTTGAGGTCAGGAGTTCAAGACCAGCCTGGCCAACATGGTGAAACCCCATCTCTACTAAAAATACAAAAATTAGCCAGACGTGGTGGCAGGCACCTGTAGTCCCAACTACTCATGAGGCTGAGGCAGGAGGATCACTTGAACCCAGGAGGCAGAGTTGCAGTGAGCCAAGATTGCACCACTGCACTCCAGCCTGGGCAGCAGAGCGAGACTCCGTCTCAAAAAAAAAAAAAAATAGTGAATGACTCAGTCTATTTGGGCTGTTATAACAAAATAGTATATACTGGGTAATTTATAAACAATGGAAAGTTGTTGCTCACAGTTCTGGAGGCTGGGAAGTTCAAGACCATCCTGGCCAACATGGTGAAACCCCATCTCTACTAAAAATACAAAAATTAGCCAGGCATGGTGGTATAAACCTGTAGTCCCAGCTACTTGGGAGGCTGAGGCAGGAGAATTGCTTGAACCCGGGAGGTGAAGATTGCAGTGAGCCAAGATCATGCCACTGCACTCTAGCCTGGGTAACAGAGTGAGACTCAGTCTAAAAAAAAGGAAAAAAAAAAATATGGGAGGCCACTGTTTTGGACTGATTCCTGCACTAGGCTCCATCAGCCGGGACCAAATCAAAATGAAATAAATTCTAGCTTCCACATAATTAAACTGAATTTAGAAATGGGCCAGTTAAAAAAAAAAATCTAGGAGATTCTCAGCAACCAATCCAAAGCCACCAAGTCAACCTGAGCTGACATAACATGAAAGGCCCTCTGCTTTAACCCATACAAGGAAAGTTAACTGAAGCCATCTGATGTTAACCAACCCACTTTTGGCATGACACCATTTCCTTCTTGCTTAAGCTACCTTACAGAAATCAACTGTTCTGCCAACCCTGGAGGAATGTCTTTCCATTTTATGAATGGGATGCTGACCAACTCATAATTGCTAATAAAAGCTAATGAGATCTTTAAATTCAATTTGTTGAAATATTGTTCTCTGTCATCCTCTACCCCATCACCTGTGCTCAGCACCACACCTCTGCTTCACTGTGCCCCTTTATTATTTTTCTAAAGCTGAACAAATCACATGGGCCCCACAGTTAGTGTTTACCTTATGCAACGACCTGTGTGGCCCCTATCAGAGCAAACAGAGAAACAGAAAGATACTCTTCCCCCCATATTAATTCCTCCTCTGCTCAAAAATGGCTTAAATTTCTTGAATTTCTTCAAGCCAGCCAAATGACAATCACAGTCATTATCTAAATGCAAACCCTTCTGAGATAGTGCTTTAATTCACAGTAAGATTCAAATAAATCATAACATCATATCTCGAGGGCAGATTTTCTTAAATGGGTACATACCGTTTTCATCAGTTGTTTTCTTAGAGCTCTGGATATTTCTCTTGTAAGAGGAACAATCTGTGCAATTACAGTTCTGTAAAATACAGCTACAGAATGCTCTGACTTAAGTGTCAGGAGAACAGCCAAGGAGCAAGTTGAGAACTGCCTGGAAGGACCTCTGGCATTACTTTAAAGCCCTGCCAGATCACTTCCGGTATCACATCATCAATTTCCTACCCCAGCTTCACTGACTCCCTATATTAGCATTTCCTGTTAATGTTTTTCATACCCACATGTGAGGGTTACATGGAATTTTAAGTTAGATTCAATAGAAGGAGCAGCAGTATAGAAATACAGTTATTAAAATTCCACTGGTATCTTTCTACTTGTTTTAATGACTACTAAAAACTTAAAAATTATATTGTGTGGCTCACACTATATTTCTATTAGGCAGTGCTGCCTTAGAAAATTCTAGTCATTTTCTAACAGAAAACCTATATGTACAATTAAAAACACTTAAACTGTGGGGGGTTACTAACAACATATACCCTTTCCCCCATTCGGTTTCTCTCTGTAAGCAGTTTAAATTACCTCTTCATTTGCTGAAGATAAAAACTTCAATATTTGAGGATTAAGAAGAGCAAAAGAGGGTCAGAGAAAGGAGATGTTCCCTGCCAGCAGTGTCCTTGTCACATGCTGGGAAGTGAGTTGGCCTAATGGCATTTAACAGTTTGACATGTGAAAAAGAAGAAAACAAGCTGCCTTTTAATCCTGGCATTCTAACCTCTCTCTTCTAATCTCTCCCTAGCCTCTGTCTTCTAGGAATGTGGGATACATTGGGTTGGGAAGTAGAGTGACCTTTGACAGAGATTGGGATGGGGTCCAGGGCAGCTGGCTCCTCTGAATAAATAGGTAAAGACAGGTACAATTAAATAGGGAGTAAGCATTTGCTCAGATGCAGTAGTCCACTAGGAGCCAGTAATCTGTCTAAGTCAATAGAATCCAGAGAAAGTCAAGGTAGTGTGAAGACAATGACGGAAAACTTCATCCACAGAGAAGAAAGAGTAGAATGAACAGATGACCACAGTCTTCCGATGGATGAAGAACCAGCTGTCCACTAAGACTTGTCCCTCATGGCTAAATTGCAGTACCAAAGTTATCTTTCCTGAAGCAATTAGTCTTACATTTTCTCTCTTGCTGTTCACATATTGTTGTTCTGCCATTGAGAAGCAAATGATGGCCAGGTGCGGTGGCTCACACCTGTAATCCCAGAACTTTGGGAGGCTGAGGCGGGTGGATCAGGAGTTCAAGACCGGCCTGGCCAGCATAGTGAAACCCCATCTCTACTAAAAATACAAAAATTAGCTGGGTATAGTGGTGGGAACCTGTAATCCCAGCTACTTGGGAGTCTGAGGCAGGAGAATCACTTGAACCCAGGGGGGCGGAGGTTGCAGTGAGCTGAAATCGTGCCGCTGCACTCCAGCCTGGGTGACAAGAGGGAAACTCTATCTCAAAAAAGAAAAAAAAAAAGAAGCAGCAGCAAATGATGTGTAGAGACTATGGAGACTCTTCTGTCCTCCCACAGATAATGTGCAGATAACATCATTCCAACATCTAAAAATGTGTTATTCATTTATTTCTGCAGAGGCAATATTCTTAGTATTGTACCAGTGACAGCCCTTGGGAGTTACTAACTGTTTATAGAAGAAATTTTTCCTGATGAAATAAAGATTCTGAGTTAATGTCTCTTTTAATATCTTGGAACATTCTGGGGGAGGCTGACATTTTAAAAATATCTTGCTTTGAATATAGGGTCTCTACAGTTGATATATCTAAGCACAATATCAATATGGAATCAGAAATTAGAATAAAAGTGAGCTGGGTATGGTGGCTCATACCTGTAATCTCAGCACTTTGGGAGGCCAAGGTGGGAGGATCACTTGAGCCCAGGAGTTTGAGATCAGCCTGGCCAACATAGTGAGACCTCATTAGAAAGAAAAAAAAAAAGGGCCAGATGCGGTGTCTCATGCCTGTAATCCTAGCACTTTGGGAGGCCAAGGCGGGCGGATCATGAGGTCAGGAGATCGAGACAGTCTTGGCTAACACGGTGAAACCCCGTCTCTACTAAAAATACAAAAAAGTTAGCTGGCGTGGTGGTGGGCGCCTGTAGTCCCAGCTACTCGGGAGGCCGGGGCGGGAGAATGGCATGAACCTGGGAGGCGGAGCTTGCAGTGAGCCGAGATTGCGCCACTGTACTCCAGCCTGGATGACAGAACAAGACTCCATCAAAAAAAAAAAAAAAAAAAAAAAGAAAATTCTTTCTTTTTCTTTCTTTTTCTGAGACAGTGTCACTGCATCCTCAACCTGGGATCTCAGCCTGGGTCCACAGGCATCTACCACCATGCACAGCTTATTTTTTAATTTTTTGTCGCGATAGCATATCTTACTATGCTACTCAGGCTAGTCTTGAAATCCTGGGCTCAAGTAGTCCTTCCAACTTGACCTCCCAAAGTGCTGGGATTATAGATGTGAGCCACCACACAGATGCTAACTTGCTGAAGATATTATTGAAAAGTTATCCTATTAAGATTTTATTAATATTATAAATTATTAAATATTTTATTGTATTATTATCTTGGTATCTGATTCATTCTCTCTTCCCATGGTTTCTTTGTAACTTAGGCTAAGATAGTTATGTGTGTGTGTGTGTGTGTGTGTGTGTTTATGACAACAAATATGTCATTTCAACACAACAAATTCTCCAATTCTCCAGCACCAACTTGGTGCCCAACAATTCAATCCAGTTCTAACACTAACTGCCCAGAGTTAGCACAGACCTCATAGGTTGAGGGCTCAGGACCACAAGCCTACTCCCATTTTAGATGTCAGCCACAAATGAAGTCCCAGGGCTACCCACACTTCTGGCCAACTGACTACTGGTTTGGGGATTCCTATGACACTCCCCCCCACCAACTGGGGTTTGATAATTCGCTAGAGTGACTCAGAGAACTCAGGAAAATGCTTTACTTATAAAGGGTACAATTCAGGAAAAGCCAAATGAGAGAGATGATCATTAGGGCAAGGTATAGAGGCTTGGGATGCTGAGAGTCCATGTCTTTTCTGGGCAGGCTCATACCTTCCATGTCCACCACACATCATGTAGGCATAGTTGATTAAATCATTGACTGTTGATAATTGCACTCAATTTCCAACCCCTTTCCTGTGTGTAGAGGTGTGACAGGGGATGGGGCTAAAAGTTCTAACCTTCTAATCAGAAAGTTTTTCTGGCAACCAGCCCCAATACTGAAGCTAACTAGGTTGCCTCCACAGTCATCTAAGTAGCATACAAGCAACAGTAAATGCCAAGGGTTTTAGGAAGGAATAAAGACCACATATTTATTTTTTGTTATACTCCAACAATGATCATGGTAAATAATATTAATCATTAACATTTGTTGGATGTCAGGCAGTGTTCTAAGAACCACATAGGCATTTGGTCATTCCTATGTGGTGGAGGCTGATGAGGTGAGGGCGGAGAGAATGTAGAACTCTCAGATTCTGATATAGTAGGCAGAGGATGGGGCTCAGGAGTCAGCATTTTTAATAAGCTTTCCAGGCGACTCTAATTCAAGTGGCCCACAGATTACTCCTTGAAAGGAGGTAATAACCCTTGAGAGGAGTTGTGACACGGTTCTACCTTGTTTAGTCCAATGCTGCAATAACACCAAAAGAGATGTCTTTATTCAGATTCAGAAATGTCTCATTTATATTCTCTGAAGGTGATGTATCTAATGCTTGTGAAAGATTTTATTCTAATGCTAATTTGGTATCACAGAACTCAAGAGACACTCAGTCCCATTTAGTTTCTGGAATGGAGAGTAAAGTACATGAAAATCTCTAGTCCCCCTGGAGACTTGACTTACACCCCAGCAATAGACTGATTCAAAGCAGAGTGTCTTGATTTTGTCATCATTGATATTTGGGGCTGGATAGTTCTTGGTTGTGGGGAGCTGTCCTCACATTGTAGGATGTTTAGCAGCATTCCTGACCTCTATTTACTAAATATCAGCAGCATCTGCTCCTCCACCTCCCAGTGCTGATGACCAAAAATGTCTCCAGACATTGCGAAATGTTCTCTGGGGGACAAAATTGGCTCTAGATGAGAACACTGTTCTAAAGGATATAGGTGAAGAGTGCTGTGATGACCCTCATATTCTTGGCTCTCTCTTTTTGTTAAATGGGTTTCTGTTGTGGGGACATCCACGAAGCAGCAACATTCAGTGAGGAGCCAAAGACAGCACTGAGCTCAAGAGAAATAAGAACAAATCCCTGGATCCAGCTCGGGCCAACCAGATGCCTTCTTGACCTTAAGTGAGGGTCTCAGTAGGGTGAGGTGGGGACGAGAATCTTGCTGGCGGCACTTCCCCCCAGAATTTAAAGTAACCCTGAAATGTAGATGAAATCATTTTCACACATCTTCACCACAACTCAAAGTACCCAAATGAGTCTGCTGAAAAACACCAACCTATCAACAGAAACATTTCCAGGAGCAGTTCTTGGGCATTGTGAATGTGCAATTGCCTCAATGCATGCCTGTAACTACTATTACCATCAGAAGCAGGACCTGGGATGTCAGGGCCTTTTCAGGGGGATTAGCACTGACATGAACATCAGCTTAGGAGATATTGCCAACATTATTAATAGACACTTTGCCCCAGCTTGTTGAGAATGGTCCAAGCAGTTCTATTTTCACAGAATAAATCCGGGTGGCCCGTCCACTAGGAGAAATGTAAAAATGCAATCATCGATTTCTCTGTAGATTCAGGAACTTTATGTGTAGTGAGGGGGAAGAAAACAGAAATGAAATCCTCTTCCCGCCTTTGCTGCCCAGAAAATGAAATATGTCCTCCTAGAATCTGTTTGGATGATTCCATTGGAACAGGATGATGCACCTGTAGAAACTCCTTTTAATTTTTCAACATGGAAAGAAACAGGGACCCCTGAAATTGTAATCATAAGGAACTGTACAGGGACTCTTTCCCCTGATGGATGCTGGACACATGTACTTGGAGTATGCGTTCAGTGATGTGTCCAAGAGTGAGGGCTACCAGAAGGACTCCTTTCCCTAAAGCTGCTCCCACAGTCTCTCAACTCTGTCTGAAATTAGAGAAGGATTCAGATGAAGGAAGTTACAGCTTACATCCTGTCAACAGCAGTTCAAAATATTCAAATGTCCCTGTGAAGAGTAACAGTGAAGATGACATCAACCATTCGCACATTCGTGTAAATTAGTTTATTATCTGGCACAAGAATGGGGAATTAGCTTGGAACTTTTGTGGGCATGGGAAGGAAGGAATGTTTGGGAGATGCTGTGTTAAGACCAATCATCTACAAAGAAGAATCTGAAGCAAAAATTGTTCACGATTTTTTTAATTTAATGCTTTATTATTATTGCTGTTTTAAACTATAAAAGTAATACATGTTAAATTGAACAATATAGAACGGGGTCCCCAACCCCCAGGCTATGGACTGGTACCAGTGCATGGCCTGTTAGGAACCAGCCACACAGCAGGAAGTGAACAGCAAGAGGTGAGCAGTAGGCAAGCAAGCATTACCTTCTGAGCTCCACCTCCTGTCAGATCAGCAGTGGCATTTAATTCTCATAGGAGCACAAGCCTTGTTGTGAACTGTGCATATGAGTGATCTAGGTTGCGCTCCTTATGAGAACCTTTTTTGTTTTTTGAGATGGAGTCTCACTCTTGTCTCCCAGGCTGGACGCAATGGCACGATCTCGGCTCGCTGCAACCTCTGCCACCTGGGTTTAAGTGATTCTCCTGCCTCAGCCTCCTGTGTAGCTGGGATTACAGGCACCTACCACCACACCCGGCTAATTTTTGTACTTTTCCTTATGAGAATCTAACCAATGCCTGAAGATCTGAGGTGGAAGTTTCATCCCCAAACTGCCCCCTCCCCATGGAAAAACTGTCTTCCACGAAACTGGTCCCTAGTGCCAAAAAGGTTGGGGACTGCTGATAGAGAAGTATACAGAGTAACACGGTATGGTCTCCTCCTCTCACATCCAGATCCACTGCCATGTAAATCTGTTAGTATTCACTTTACTGGCTGTCCATTGGGAATGTTTTTCCATGTTTATATGAACTCATATGCATATACAGTATATAATATAGGTTCTGTTTTTTAGATTTTTTAACAAAAAAATATATACTTAGCAATTTATTATGGACATCTTTCCAAGTTAATGCCTTTCCCTCATTCTTTATAATAGCTGCATATATTCTGATATAGATATATCATTATTTATTCATTAATCTTTGTTTGCAGACATGCTTTTTTCAGTTCTTTGCTATTAAAGACAATGCTTCATGCTATAAGAATCAATCAGTAAACTGTGATGTCATATAATGGAATACCATCATTAAACTGACAGGCTAGATGTATATGTAACATGTTTCAATATTAAAAATCTTGAGTGAAAAATATACAGAATAAAATTATATACTATATGAAAATTAAGCATATAAAACAATACTATATATTGATTATGGAAATGTACATATGTAATAATTTTTTTTTTGAGATGTCTTGCTCTGTCACCCAGGCTGGAGTGCAGTGGCGCAATGTCAACTCACTGCAACTGCCACCTCCTGGGTTCAAGTGATTCTCCTGCCTCAGCCTCCCAAGTAGCTGGGATTACAGGTACACGCCACCACACCTGGCTAATTTTTGTATTTTTAGTACAGATGGAGTTTCACCATGTTGGCCAGGCTGGTCTTGAACTCCTGACCTCAGGTGATCCGCCTGCCTTGGCCTCCTAAAGTGCTAGGATTACAGGCATGAGCCACCACAACGGGCCTAACAATTTTAACAGAAGAGAAAAATAATTCTTCAGAAAATATCCTAGTACATATATCTTCTTGTGCTCGTGCTTTTAGTTGTGTGAGAGAGATTTATAGGATATGCTGCCTAGGACAAAGACCAACAAATTTCCATTCCTTTTCCACATGACATGTTTTGGGCAAATTCACTATTCTGTTTACCAGCTTTGAAACAAGTTTCAGTTTGATTAGTAACTTAAATTTTCCTATTTGGAAAAGGAAGAAATATAAGAAAAATAATAATAGTTAAAATGCCTCTTCAAGTGTAGCACTTGAACATAAGCTTCTGGAGGAGTTTGGAGAGGATGCAGGTAACCAGACTCCTCGCTTTCCCTGTTCTAGATCCAAACGTAGAATCTAGTTTATTTAGAGATGACTAAGATTTGTGTTCACTTTGTGGGCATCAATCTTTTTCATAGTTTAATCCTGACTTGAAATTATATATATTTCTAAAAAGACCTGAGATGCATTTTTCTTAATGGTTCAAATACAAAGGTTGGGCAGTTTATCCACCCTGAAAACATACAGAATAAAATATTTAGGACTAGGCAAGTCTGTGACCTTGACTTTTAAATTCAAAAACTTACCCATTTTATGCAGTATAGGTATCCAGGATGGAAACGTGGAGTGCGGGAGACAGAGTGTGCACACGCACACAATCTACCCCTGCCTGAATCCTCGACTCTGTTCCTTTGCAGGCGTCATTCTATCAGTGCACGAATGTACTTCAACAGCCCAGCAGTCCAGGACCCGTAGCCTTGCAGGTGCCACTTTGGGAAACAGCCTTGGGGGCAGCGTGTGGCTGTGGCGCCTGGCCTGGTCTGGGTTCTCCCTCTGCAACGCCAGGAAGCTCGTCTGCCTAGTGCCGCTCCTCAGATTGGCTATGCTCTTGCACTCTTTTGCGTCCTTTGCCAGAAATCTTTGGCAAGGGCAATTGGGGCAGAGTAAAACAAGAGGCTTCCTCCTCTCCTCCTGTAAAGTGGAGCAGAAGCACTCTCTACAGACTTATGTTAAAAAACAAAAGCAAAAACAAAAACCCACAAAGCCAGACATGGTGGCTCACGCCTGTAATCCCAGCACTTTGGTAGGCCAAAATGGGTGGATCACCTGATGTCAGGCAAAACCCCGTCTCTACTAAAAATACAAAAATTAGCCAGGGGTGGTGGGACATGCCTGTAATCCCAGCTACTCAGGAGGCTGAGGCAGGAGAATCACTTGAACTCGGGAGGCAGAGGCTGCAGTGAGCCAAGATCGCGCCACTGCACTCCAACCTGGGTGATAGAGCAAGACTCCATTTCAAAAACAAAATAAAACAAAAACAAAAGACCAAACAGACGTAAACACCCCCACAAAAACCCTCGTATCCCCTCCACTTCTCAGAATTCCTCCTTTTAAAGTAAATTATCTTACCTTAAACATTCTCTAGTTGCCCAGGTCACAAACTGAGGTCATCCTCCAGGCCACAACTAATAGGAAACAAGGTCGCCTGGGGTGAGGGAGGGGCAACGTGGACCCCACTCAGCGGGCACATTGACCTCTGGTCCCAAGTTCGGCCTCTGCCTCTGGTGCCTCTCTACCCTCGAAACCGTCTTCCATGTTATTTGTAATCTACCAAAACTAAAAAAGGGTCGGGGCCCTTTCTCTTTGTCCTTTTTCTCACTATGCTTGCTACTATCTCAGAATGTATCACATTCCTAAGATTTCCAAATGAAAGTATTAGAGAAGGTGTATTCCAACTGATACCAAGTCTCTTTAGGTCTTAATCCCCTAATACAAAGCCAAATTTATTATATATCTTCACTGAGCCATGGGCAGTGTGATTCTGTTCCCAAAGGACACACCAGTCTTTAGGTACTAGACTGTATTCATACTGCACACCTGGACTCCCCTGCTTCCCCACAATAAATGTAACTAAATAAGTTCTAAAAATCGAGTAGCATGTCCCATCCTAGTTTGGGAGTCCTGTCCTGTGCATCTATTTTGCCCAGCATTGTAGGAGAATGCACCCTGATCAGTCTCAGTCTACTAGATTATAAATGTCTAGGATTCAGGGACTGTGTTTTATTAATCTTTTTTTATTTGTAGCTCCCAGTACAATGTCTTGCACATAATAGGCACTCAACAAATGTTCATTGAAAAGTTGTGAAATGGGGAAAAAAAAAAAGAAGAGGGAAGGCAACAACATTCATGGAGCACCTATGGCATGCCAGGCACTGAGCTAGGTCCTTTACAAACTTTAGTACAGTATTTGTTATTTGTTAGTGCTCTCTATGGTGTATGGCTCCAGGAAGAGTACTAGGACCAGGGGAAACTAAAGGAAGACACGTTTGAGTTCAATATGAAGAACTCTCTAATGTTCACAGCTGACTAAAGATGCAGGTGGCTGCCTCAGGAAGGGCGAAGTGCCTGTCATTAAGCATAGACTGGAGATGTTATATGGGGATGCACACATCAAGATGTGGTACTTGGAGATGTTATATGGGGACCCACACATCAAGATGGGGTACTATCAACCAAATTAGGCCCTACACTCAGATGCCTACAGAGGCAAGGCAAAAAAATATGAATGAGAGAAGCCAAGTGTAAGAAGCTCTTCATTTCCCCCTTAGCTCTAGGAAAATAGTGACAGTATCATGACAAATAGTGGCTGGCATTCGGCCTCTGCATTGGAGACACAAGAGGGAGGAGGGGCGTCTGTGCATATTTCTTCTAAAGAGCAGCATTGTTACTCAGACCAATAGACAGTTTTTATGCGGGAATGTGAGTCCTGTGTTGAAAAATCTTTTGATTTTTCAAGAGAAGCCAGAAATCTTCATTTTTTATGTAAAACCTTCTGATTTTTTTTGTATGTATGTATGTAAGTTTATTTATTTTTCTTTTTTTTAATTATACTTTAGGTTCTAGGGTACATGTGCACAATGTGCAGGTTTGTTACATATGTATACATGTGCCATGTTGGTTTGCTGCACCCATTAACTCATCATTTATATTAGGTATTTCTCCTAATGCTATCCCTCCCCCATCCCCCTAAAACCTTCTGATTCTTAAACGTGCTATCAAATTCCATTTGAAAAAAGAATCCAAACTGCAGGCCCCACAATGTGTCTACACACTACATGGCCCATGGTCAGTTTGTGACCCCTGAAACTAATCATGTTTAAGGTGACTCTAAGTTGTGAGACTCTTGGAATATTTACCTTTTAGCATGGCTATAATCCAGTGTTTGGTTATAAATGTTAAATCCTGATATTGAATGACAATGCCCTGGGTTCACAAGCTCTCTGGCTTAAAGTTTTAAACAAAGGAATGAATTTGTTCTAGCTCTGTTTCATCTCACTACTTTTTGTCACTGTGATCTTTGCATCAGAAGCTTATCTGATTATTTTATGTCATTTCATCAACCACAGAGTTGATAGATGACACAGGCACATAGAAAGTCAGGCAATCTTATTATGCCTTTCAGTGCAGAACTCAGCTCCCAGCGGGCTCAGACCAACCACAATGAATTAAAACCCTGTCCAAAAGGGTACACGCATGGGTGGTGTTATCCTGACAATCCCAGTTTTAAATTATCTCTCCAGATGTTCTCTCAGCAACATGATAGAAGTCCTATTTTCAGTGAAGGTCCTTGAACTACAAGGTGAAAAATGACTGATAGAAGAAGCTTTTATTCTTCTATAAGGTGATGTTTTCCCCTTCCTGATTTGGGTAAATGGAGATTATTTTCTAATATCTGGGGTTTAGGAAAAGTGGCACAGAAACCACAAATGTCTTCTCTAGGGAGGAGATAGTGCTGATGGCCAACTAGAAGGTTATGGTTGTTGATTTCTAAGGAGTGATGAGAAGTGGCTTTGATTTGGCTCTGGGCAGGTCTACTCCATTCCTTTCTTTTCTTTGTTGGGTTAGATTTTTGGGGGACTTTGTTTTGTTTTGTTTTGTTTTTGCCTCATCCTATTTGCCATACCTACAATTTTGGTGTGGTCCTAAAGGGATGGTGCAAAGAAGGCTACTTGGCCAAGTTTTAGTGTTGTAAGACTTAGAGACACCTTCTCTAGGATAAAGAAGACCCTGTAGTTCCATGTGGTCCATCCTCTTCACCCGGAAACAATTAGGGTTAAGGATAAACCTATGGTAATGAACAGAGTGAATTTTCTTGGAGCAAGTCTATTATGTATCTGTTTCCTAATGTAGCTGGTGTTGGGAGAATGGCGTCTCCCTACCCTTCCAGGTTCTTTGGGCTACAAATTAAATTGACATAAGACAGATTAATAGGAGAAAAACAATTTCAATTATATTATGTATGCATGAGAATCACACAGAAATATGAGACTCAAAGGATTAGATAATTGAAGCTTATATAATAAAACAATCTGACCTACAGAAAGGAACAGGAGCTTGGGATTTCTATGGGGTGGTGGAAATAGGTTACAGGAGAGTGAGGGTAAGAAATGCATGGCGAATAAGGCTTGCCTTGTTATACAGAAAAAAATCTCAGGTAATAAAGGTTGTCTCCAGAGTAACCTGATATAGGTTGCATCAGGGGTGTCTAATCTTTTGGCTTTCCTGGGCCACATTGGAAGAAAAAGAATTGTCTTGGGCCACACATAAAATACGCTAACAGTAAAAATAGCTAATGAGCTAAAAAAAAATTGCAAAAAAATCTCATAATGTTTTAAGAAAGTTTATGAATTTGTGTTGAGCTGGATTCAAAGCCATCCTGGGCTGTGGGTTGGACAAGCTTGGGTTAAATAATCTCTTCCTGATAGAGATACCTTGACTCATAGAAATTTCCTTTATAGATGTAAATTTCTTTTACAGAAAGGCAGCTTTTCAGAGTTACTCTGCTGTCTGCAGTTTCTCAAAATAAACAGCTAATAATCAATATGCCAAAGAGGACATTCTAGGGTGGTTCGTCCTGAGCCAAACAGTGACATAAAGTAAGCAGCACTGAGCCACAATTCTCCAAAGTTCTCTTGGTTTCTGCAGGTATTGCAAGTTAGGCACTGAGTGCCCTTTGCTCCAGACCATCTTCTCAAGTATGATTATATAGTGAACAGTTGGAAGATATAGTTTCTGCCTTTGAAGAAAAATCACTTTTTT